>NT_167247.2:2503464-2706866 GCF_000001405.40 Homo sapiens | reverse complement strand
GGCCAGGCACAGTGGCTCATGCCTGTAATACAGTGGCTCAGCATTTTGGGAGGCAGAGACAGGCAGATACCTTGAGATCAGCTTGGGCAACATGGTGAAGCCCCATCTCTACAAAAAATACAAAAGTTAGCTGGGCATTGTGGCGCACACCTGTAGTCCCATCTACTCAGGGAGCTGAGATGGAAGGATCAATTGAGCCTGCGAGTTCGAGGCTGCAGTGAGTTGTGATTGTGCCACTGCACTCCAGCCTGGGTGACAGAAGAGACCTTGTCTCGAAAAAGAAGCTGAAAACAATGGAACCATGCCTTCAGAATTCCAGAAAGAAAGTTATTTTCAACGAATAAATCTATATTCAGCCAAATAATCAAGGGTGAAGGTAAAATAATACATTTTTAGGCAAGCAAAGACTCAGGGGTTACCTCCATGTATCTTTTGTTGGGAAACTATTGGAGAAAATACTCCAGCAAAATGAAGGAGTAGACAAACCAGAGAATGACATGGATCCAGCAAATAGGATCCAACTCAGGAAATATTCCAGCTATGGAGCTGGCTTTAAAAAGAAACAGTAAAAATATTAATAGGTTAGCTGGGTGGAATGGCCCATGCCTGTAGTTCCAGCTACTCAGGAGGCTAAGCAAGAGGTTGGCTTGAGCCCAAGATTTCCCGACCAGCCTGGCCATCATAGTAAGATTCCCTTCTCTTAAAAATAATAATAGGTTATTGCCAGATTTGGGGCATTTGGAAAGTAGTTCATTGAAGATAAAGCAAAAGTTAAAAAAAAAACAAGGGAGAAGGGTGGTTAGGCAATCATTAATTCTAGGGCAGAAGGAAGCACAAGACAGGAAGCAAGAGCATAATACTCTGTTTTTCTCAACAATGAGCAATATGTACATACTCATAATGATGTGGTGACTACTTAGCCCCTAAATCTGGTAACTACTTTGGGACAATATGGGGGGAAAAGTGAAGGTAGTGATGGTGTAAGAGCTAAATCCTCATCTGTCATATCAAGAAATTACTATAGAATGTATAAAAAATCAAGAAATGACTAAGTAGTTATGTGAGAAAAAAATAGAAGACATTGCTAAAAGAGTTAAAAGTCATTGCTCTGGAGAATTAGGAGGGATGGGGCAGGAGACTGTTAGGGTGTGTTATAAACTGAAGAGCCTTTTTAAAATTACATGTATTAATATATGCACCCACTTGAAAAACTAAAAAAATAATAATTTGGAAAAACCTATGAAGGTAACTACCAGGAGGAAAAACTAAGAGAATGAAAAGTGCTTGCCTCTCGAGAGAACAACTGGCAGGACTGTTGTTTTCATTGTAAGACTTTTGGAGCCATTTGATTTTACTTAACCATTTTCATGTATTCCTTTAATAAAAACAACTCTATCATAATAAAAAGTTACACTTGTTCATAGAAAACAAACAAACAAACAAACAAAAAATCCTTCCTGCCCAGCCCATCTCATTCTCCCTGAATCCTCAGCGCTAATGAGGACTGTCTCCTTCTCACCTGCTTGGACTGGGCTTTTTAACACTGGAAAGTGGATGTGATTTCTAGTTTCAGCAGGTCCTGGTTTATTGTGCTGCCAGTAAAATAAAATCAAAATACACATTGAATAAATAATAAATAAAATAACCCATGGTGAGCAAAGGTTTACAATGTTTGTTGTTGTTATTGTTTTTTGAGTCAAGATCCCACTCTGTGGTCTGGGCTGGAGTCCAGTGATGCGATCACAGCTCACTACAGACTTGAATCCATAAGCCCAAGGGATCTTCCCATCCCAGCCTCCCCAATACCTGGGAATACAAGTGCCCACCACCATGCCCAGCTAAGTTTACTTATTTTTATATCTTTTAGAGATGAGGTTCTCACAATGTTGTTCAAGCTGGTCTCCAACTCCTGATCTCAAGCAATCCTCTTGCCTTAGCGTCCTGAATTGCTGGGATTACAGGGGTGAGCTGTTCATGCCCAGCTTGTAATGTACTGACACCTTCAAGATTTCCTTCTCCAAGTGTGGACACAGCAGCAGATGCCCCTTGTCTCTTGGGTCAGGACACTGGGTAGAGTGGAAGAGCAAGACAACAAAGTCACTGCAGAAAGCATCCATGTGGAAGAGGTCCAGCAGGGAGGGCCAGCTGTCCCAGGGACACCATATTTAGGGATAACTCCTCTTTCTGGGCAGGACTGTTCTTTGATTACTTTTATATTCACGATAGTTCTGAAATCGTAGGATGATGAGACTCAAGACTGGCTAGGATTTGTTTTCAAAAAACCATCTCCGAGATTTGTGGATCTTTTGAATGGATTTTAGTGTCTCAATTTCCTTCAGAACTTAACTCATTCTTAACATTTCACAGACTACTTTCAGTTAATAATGTACTAGTGCCCATAAATATAGAAATATTGCAACCTTTTATCCTCTATAAAATGTCCATCTTTTATGGTATAGATATTGTATGTAATATATCTATATAGGTTGTAAGTCCCATGATAAAAAACTTTTTCTTATCTTTAAACAGTTCTATGTATATAAAGTAAGAATAAATGAGGGGAGCAAGATAGCCTTTTGCACTTAGCTCAATATTTACCATTTTTGATCATCTTCATCTTTTTTGATAATCTCATTTTCCACCTGGTATCATTTGCCTCTAGTCTGAAGAATTTTCTTTACCAATTGTAATTGTACAGATCTGCTGGTGACAAATTCTTTTAATTTTCTTTTACCTGAAATATCTCATTTGCCTATCCTTGAAGGACATCTATGCTGGATATAGAATTCTTAGTTGATCTTTTTGTCTTCCAGCACTTTAAAGATGTTATTCTACTTTCTTTTGTTTCTATGGTTTCTAATAAAAAGTCATTGATCAGGACAAGAGGAACAGAGAAACAAAAACCGGGAAAATAACATGGTAGACGTGAAACTTATCATATCAATAATGACAAAAACCTATATGAATCAACACTCCAATGAAGGGCAGAGATTGTGTGACTTGGTTTAAAAAAACACGGAACCCAACCATACGCTCTTTCCAGACATGCACTTTCTTTGTTTTTTTTTTTAATTTAACTTTTATTTTTAGTTAAGGGGTACATGTGCAGGTTTGTTATATAGGTAAACTTGTGTCATGGGGTTTTGTTTCACAAATTATTTCTATACCCATTAGTACCCACCCAAGTATTAAGTCTTAGTTCCCATTAGCTATTTTTCCTGATCCTCTCCCTCCTCCCACCCTCCACCCTCAAGTGGACCCCAGTGTGTGTTGTTCCCCTCTGCATGCCCATGTGTTCTCATCATTTAGCTCCCACTTATAAGTGAGAACATGTGGTATATAGTTTTCTGTTCCTGCATTAGTTTGCTTAGAATAATGGCCTCCAGCTCCATCCATGTTCCTGCAAAGGACGTAATCTCATTCTTTTTTATGGCTGTATAGTATTCTATGGTGTATATGTGCCACATTTTCTTTATCCAGTCTACCATTGATGGGCATTTAGGTTGATTCCAAGTCTTTGCTATGGTGAATAGTGCTTCAATGAACATATGTGTACATGTAAGTCACTCACTTTCTCTTTTTATTTAATTTATTTTATTTTGCTTTAAGTTCCAGATACATGTGCAGAACGTGCAGGTTTGTTACATACGTATAGTCTGCCATAGTGGTTTGCTGCACCTATTCACCCATCCTCTAAGTTCCCTCCTCTTACCCCCGACTCCCCAAAAGGCCCTGGTGTGTGTTGTTCCCCTCCCTGTGTCCATGTGTTCTCATTGTTCACCTCCCACTTAAGAGTGAGGACACGTGGTGTTAGGTTTTCTGTTCCCATGTTAGTTTGCTGACGATGACTTCCAGCTTCATCCATGTCCCTGCAAAGGACATGAACTCATTCCTTTTTATGGCCGTGTAGTATTCCATGGTGTATATCTACCACATTTTCTTTACCCAGACTATCATTGATGGGCATGTGGGTTGGTTCCATGTCTTTGCTATTGAAAATAGTGCTGCAATAAACATACCTGTGCATGTGTCTTTATAGTAGAATGATTGATATTCCTTTGGGTATATACCCAGTAAAGGGATTGCTGGGTCAAATAGTATTTCTGGTTCTACAACTTTGAGGAATGGTCACACCATCCTCCGTAATGGTTGAACTATTTTACATTCCCACCAACAGTGAAAAAACATTCCTATTTCTCCACAGCCTCACCAGCATCTATTGTTTCCTCACTTTTTAATAATCGCCATTCTGGCTCGCAGGAGATAGTACATCATTGTGGTTTTGATTTGCTTTTCTCTAATGATCATTGATATTGAGCTTTTTTTTCATATGTTTTTTCTTCTGAGAAGTGTCTGTTCATACCCTTTGCCAATTTTTGATAGGGCTGTTTTTTTTCTTGTAAATTTGTTTAAGCTCCTTGTAAACATACATGTGAGCTCTCATCATTCTTGTTTAAACACCTAAGAGGCATCCAAATCAGTGCAACATGGCAAGAAAATGAAATAAGAAACCAATAGAAGGACCAGGCATGGTGGCTCATGCCTGTAATCCCTGCATTTTGGGAGGCTGAGGTGGAAGGATCACTTGAGTTCAGGAGTTTGAGACCAGCCTGATAGTGAGACCTCATCTCTACCAAATAAAAATAATTTTAAAAGAAAAAAGATCAATAGATAGGAAAGGAAGAAACAAAAGTCTTTGTCACCAACTTCATTGCATATGTAGAAAACACTAGGGAATTCTGAAAAAGTCTCTGGAATTAATCATTGAATTTGCAAAATAGTTCATAAAATATATGTAATAAGTCACTTAGATGAACATGAAAAGACAGCAAACAATACTAGTCATCAAAGAAGTGCAAGTTAAAACCACAATGAGAAACCATCACACATCACCTAGAATAGATAAAGTTAAAAAGACATTGGATAAGTCTAAATACTGTCAAGAATATGGAAAAAATCGGAATGTCTGATATTGCTGGTAGGAATGCAAAAAATGTGGCAGCCAATTTGTAAAGTGGTATGGCAGTTTCTTATACAGTTACCCATCTATTACCACATGGCCCAGCAATTCCACAAATATGTATTTATCCAAAAGAAATAAAAATGTAAGGCCACACTTGTAAGCAGTTATTTATAGTGGCTTCATTAATAACAAGCCCTAACTGGAGGAATCCACATGTCTATCAACTGGAGGCAGAGAAACCAATGAATAAGCTGGGATTCCAGCAATACTCAGCAGCTGCTCAGCAACAAAAATGAGTGAATGGCATCATCTCAAACATCGTTATGCTAAAGGAGAGACCAAACGAAGGACTACATAACATAAGACTGCACGTCCATTACATTCTAGAAATTTCAGTATTGCAGTGACAGAAAACAGAGTGGTGGTTGAGTGAAGGGAAGGGGTGAGGGTGGGAGGCAAGGATTAAATAGAAAGGGGCAGAAAGAAAGTTTTTAGGGAAAAGAAACAGTTCTCTACAGCGCCACAACTCAGAAGTAACTGGGTGGTGGGAACTAAGGGGAGAGGAGGGTGTGAGGGAAGAGGACAGAGAGAAGGGCTGGGGAAGCAGGAGGTGAGGACAAGGAGCAGGAGAAAGGACTCTAAAGCAGTGGAGGAGCCTAGCAGGGGATTCTTTGCATTCTGGGTTTCTCTACTGGGCAGTGTGGTAGTTACATGACTATAAATAATTACCAATATTCGCCAAAAAAGCGCAGCTAAAACTGGTGAATTTTATTACATATAAATGCCCTAATAAGCAAAAATAAATAAATAAATAAAAGGGGGGGAGGGGAGGCAAAAATAAAGACATTTTTAGATAATCAAAGCCATAAAATTAATTTCCTAGGGGTCCTGTACTACATTTAATTTAAAAGGAAGTGCTTCAGGGTGAAGGAAAATGATACTAGATGGTGACCCAGATATACAGAAAGGAACAATTAACAACAGAAATGATGCACATACACATGTCACATTCACACTCATTTTCTTAATTTCCTGAAGACATATGGCTACTTGTTTAAAACAAAAAGTATTACACTGTATCATTGAGCTTATAATATAGGTTGATGTAATATATACAACAATAATAGCACAATGGTAGGTTACAAGAAACTACACTGTTAGAAGTGTCCTTTATTTTCTGGATGCAGCTTAATATAACCTGAACTTCACTGTGAAAAGTCAAGGAATCGGGTTTCCATTCTTTGCTATTGTGTAAAGAAATATAGCCAAAAGCCACTAGGAGAATTAAAACCATAAACTAAAAAATGTTTATTTGACACATAAGAAAGTAGTAAAGGAGGAACAGAAACAAAAAGATATGAGACAAATTGAAAACATATAGCAAAATGGTAGACCAAAACCCAACCACTGTAAGTGAAGAAATGACATGACCTGAGTCACATTAGCAGAACTGCTGAGCACTGTGGGGAGAACAGATATGGGCAGGAGGTGAGGGACAGTGTTAGTGCCACAATTCAGGAGTGAAAGGGTGGCAGGGACTAAGGGGGGGGTGGTGTGAGGGATGAGAGGGGCAGACAGAAGGGCTGGAGAGGCAGGAGGTGAGGAAAAGGAGCAGGAGAAAGAATTCTAAAGCAGTGGAAGAGCCTGGCAGAGGGTTCTTTGCATTCGGTATTTAATACATTTTGTTGGACTTCCTAAAAACTAATTGGCTCCTTATGATTAAAAAAAAAAGAGTTACAAAAATACCAAGTGTTCAGATAAAATATGCACACTGCTTGGATGTGCAGAGTTCAGGAAAACAGGCAGTGCTTGAGCGCTGGTGAAGAGCATTGGGACTGCATGGAGCCCTCGCAACTTTGAGGTGATGACTACAGGTTCCCGGTTGCAATAGACAGTAACAAAACCCGCTTCTTTATATTCAGGAGATGTTCTGGACTCACACAGGGAAACTCAGGGTGGGGAATGAAGATAATTTTAAATGCAACAACCCAGAGTCACAGATCCATAGTCTGGTAAAGTAAAACTTAGGAGCTTTGAGAGTTTAATTGTAATGCTGTTTTGACACAGGTCTTTTGCAGATTGGAATTCTAATCATTCAGGGATTACCAATATTGTGCTACCTACTGTATTAATAAACAAAAAGGAAACTGGTCTCTATGAGAATCTCTGTGTGGTGGCTTCAGACAAAACTTCGCCAGGTTTAGAGAGAAAACCCCTGTCTCTACACCTCCATTCCCAGGGCGAGCTCACTCTCTGGCATCAAGTTCTCCGTGATCAGTTTCCCTACACAAGATCCAAGAGGAGAGGTAAGGAGTGAGAGGCAGGGAGTCCAGTTCAGGGACAGGGATTCCAGGAGGAGAAGTGAAGGGGAAGCGGGTGGGCGCAGCCTGGGGGTCTCTCCCTGGTTTCCACAGACAGATCCTTGTGCAGGACTCAGGCAGACAGTGTGACAAAGAGGCTGGTGTAGGAGAAGAGGGATCAGGACGAAGTCCCAGGTCCCGGACGGGGCTCTCAGGGTCTCAGGCTCCGAGAGCCTTGTCTGCATTGGGGAGGCGCAGCGTTGGGGATTCCCCACTCCCACGAGTTTCACTTCTTCTCCCAACCTATGTCGGGTCCTTCTTCCAGGATACTCGTGACGCGTCCCCATTTCCCACTCCCATTGGGTGTCGGGTGTCTAGAGAAGCCAATCAGTGTCGCCGGGGTCCCAGTTCTAAAGTCCCCACGCACCCACCCGGACTCAAAATCTCCTCAGACGCCGAGATGCGGGTCACGGCGCCCCGAACCGTCCTCCTGCTGCTCTCGGGAGCCCTGGCCCTGACCGAGACCTGGGCCGGTGAGTGCGGGGTCGGCAGGGAAATGGCCTCTGTGGGGAGGAGCGAGGGGACCGCAGGCGGGGGCGCAGGACCCGGGGAGCCGCGCCGGGAGGAGGGTCGGGCGGGTCTCAGCCCCTCCTCGCCCCCAGGCTCCCACTCCATGAGGTATTTCTACACCGCCATGTCCCGGCCCGGCCGCGGGGAGCCCCGCTTCATCGCAGTGGGCTACGTGGACGACACCCAGTTCGTGAGGTTCGACAGCGACGCCGCGAGTCCGAGGATGGCGCCCCGGGCGCCATGGATAGAGCAGGAGGGGCCGGAGTATTGGGACCGGGAGACACAGATCTCCAAGACCAACACACAGACTTACCGAGAGAGCCTGCGGAACCTGCGCGGCTACTACAACCAGAGCGAGGCCGGTGAGTGACCCCGGCCTGGGGCGCAGGTCACGACTCCCCATCCCCCACGTACGGCCCGGGTCGCCCCGAGTCTCCGGGTCCGAGATCCGCCCCCCTGAGGCCGCGGGACCCGCCCAAACCCTCGACCGGCGAGAGCCCCAGGCGCGTTTACCCGGTTTCATTTTCAGTTGAGGCCAAAATCCCCGCGGGTTGGTCGGGGCGGGGCGGGGCTCGGGGGACGGGGCTGACCGCGGGGCCTGGGCCAGGGTCTCACACCCTCCAGAGGATGTACGGCTGCGACGTGGGGCCGGACGGGCGCCTCCTCCGCGGGCATGACCAGTCCGCCTACGACGGCAAGGATTACATCGCCCTGAACGAGGACCTGAGCTCCTGGACCGCGGCGGACACGGCGGCTCAGATCACCCAGCGCAAGTGGGAGGCGGCCCGTGAGGCGGAGCAGTGGAGAGCCTACCTGGAGGGCCTGTGCGTGGAGTGGCTCCGCAGATACCTGGAGAACGGGAAGGAGACGCTGCAGCGCGCGGGTACCAGGGGCAGTGGGGAGCCTTCCCCATCTCCTATAGGTCGCCGGGGATGGCCTCCCACGAGAAGAGGAGGAAAATGGGATCAGCGCTAGAATGTCGCCCTCCCTTGAATGGAGAATGGCATGAGTTTTCCTGAGTTTCCTCTGAGGGCCCCCTCTTCTCTCTAGGACAATTAAGGGATGACGTCTCTGAGGAAATGGAGGGGAAGACAGTCCCTAGGATAGTGATCAGGGGTCCCCTTTGACCCCTGCAGCAGCCTTGGGAACCGTGACTTTTCCTCTCAGGCCTTGTTCTCTGCCTCACACTCAGTGTGTTTGGGGCTCTGATTCCAGCACTTCTGAGTCACTTTACCTCCACTCAGATCAGGAGCAGAAGTCCCTGTTCCCCGCTCAGAGACTCGAACTTTCCAATGAATAGGAGATTATCCCAGGTGCCTGCGTCCAGGCTGGTGTCTGGGTTCTGTGCCCCTTCCCCACCCCAGGTGTCCTGTCCATTCTCAGGCTGGTCACATGGGTGGTCCTAGGGTGTCCCATGAGAGATGCAAAGCGCCTGAATTTTCTGACTCTTCCCATCAGACCCCCCAAAGACACATGTGACCCACCACCCCATCTCTGACCATGAGGCCACCCTGAGGTGCTGGGCCCTGGGCTTCTACCCTGCGGAGATCACACTGACCTGGCAGCGGGATGGCGAGGACCAAACTCAGGACACCGAGCTTGTGGAGACCAGACCAGCAGGAGATAGAACCTTCCAGAAGTGGGCAGCTGTGGTGGTGCCTTCTGGAGAAGAGCAGAGATACACATGCCATGTACAGCATGAGGGGCTGCCGAAGCCCCTCACCCTGAGATGGGGTAAGGAGGGGGATGAGGGGTCATATCTGTTCTCAGGGAAAGCAGGAGCCCTTCTGGAGCCCTTCAGCAGGGTCAGGGCCCCTCATCTTCCCCTCCTTTCCCAGAGCCATCTTCCCAGTCCACCATCCCCATCGTGGGCATTGTTGCTGGCCTGGCTGTCCTAGCAGTTGTGGTCATCGGAGCTGTGGTCGCTACTGTGATGTGTAGGAGGAAGAGCTCAGGTAGGGAAGGGGTGAGGGGTGGGGTCTGGGTTTTCTTGTCCCACTGGGGGTTTCAAGCCCCAGGTAGAAGTGTTCCCTGCCTCATTACTGGGAAGCAGCATCCACACAGGGGCTAACGCAGCCTGGGACCCTGTGTGCCAGCACTTACTCTTTTGTGCAGCACATGTGACAATGAAGGACAGATGTATCGCCTTGATGGTTGTGGTGTTGGGGTCCTGATTCCAGCATTCATGAGTCAGGGGAAGGTCCCTGCTAAGGACAGACCTTAGGAGGGCAGTTGGTCCAGGACCCACACTTGCTTTCCTCGTGTTTCCTGATCCTGCCCTGGGTCTGTAGTCATACTTCTGGAAATTCCTTTTGGTTCCAAGACGAGGAGGTTCCTCTAAGATCTCATGGTCCTGCTTCCTCCCAGTCCCCTCACAGGACATTTTCTTCCCACAGGTGGAAAAGGAGGGAGCTACTCTCAGGCTGCGTGTAAGTGGTGGGGGTGGGAGTGTGGAGGAGCTCACCCACCCCATAATTCCTCCTGTCCCACGTCTCCTGCGGGCTCTGACCAGGTCCTGTTTTTGTTCTACTCCAGCCAGCGACAGTGCCCAGGGCTCTGATGTGTCTCTCACAGCTTGAAAAGGTGAGATTCTTGGGGTCTAGAGTGGGTGGGGTGGCGGGTCTGGGGGTGGGTGGGGCAGTGGGGAAAGGCCTGGGTAATGGAGATTCTTTGATTGGGATGTTTCGCGTGTGTCGTGGGCTGTTCAGAGTGTCATCACTTACCATGACTAACCAGAATTTGTTCATGACTGTTGTTTTCTGTAGCCTGAGACAGCTGTCTTGTGAGGGACCGAGATGCAGGATTTCTTCACGCCTCCCCTTTGTGACTTCAAGAGCCTCTGGCATCTCTTTCTGCAAAGGCACCTGAATGTGTCTGCGTCCCTGTTAGCATAATGTGAGGAGGTGGAGAGACAGCCCACCCTTGTGTCCACTGTGACCCCTGTTCCCATGCTGATCTGTGTTTCCTCCCCAGTCATCTTTCTTGTTCCAGAGAGGTGGGGCTGGATGTCTCCATCTCTGTCTCAACTTTATGTGCACTGAGCTGCAACTTCTTACTTCCCTACTGAAAATAAGAATCTGAATATAAATTTGTTTTCTCAAATATTTGCTATGAGAGGTTGATGGATTAATTAAATAAGTCAATTCCTGGAATTTGAAAGAGCAAATAAAGACCTGAGAACCTTCCAGAATCTGCATGTTCGCTGTGCTGAGTCTGTTGCAGGTGGGGTGTGGAGAAGGCTGTGGGGGGCCGAGTGTGGATGGGGCCTGTGCCCATTTGGTGTTGAGTCCATCATGGGCTTTATGTGGTTAGTCGTCAGCTGGGTCACCTTCACTGCTCCATTGTCCTTGTCCCTTCAGTGGAAACTTGTCCAGTGGGAGCTGTGACCACAGAGGCTCACACATCGCCCAGGGTGGCCCCTGCACACGGGGGTCTCTGTGCATTCTGAGACAAATTTTCAGAGCCATTCACCTCCTGCCCTGCTTCTAGAGCTCCTTTTCTGCTCTGCTCTCCTGCCCTCTCTCCCTGCCCTGGTTCTAGTGATCTTGGTGCTGAATCCAATCCCAACTCCTGAATCTGTAAAGCAGAGTCTAATTTAGACTTACATTTGTCTGTGAAATTGGACCCGTCATCAAGGACTGTTCTTTCCTGAAGAGAGAACCTGATTGTGTGCTGCAGTGTGCTGGGGCAGGGGGTGCGGGGAGGGGGTTGCTGTAGAAAGAGGGATGGGGAGGGAGGGCACACAAGCAGCACTGCTGAGAAAAACATAGGCGGCCTCTATCTCAGTGTGAGGGGTCCTTGTGCTGCAGCTGCCACAAAACAGCACTTGGCCTGAGGCTATGTTAATAAAGATACTGCCTTCAAAATAGGGAGGTGCTCTACAGTGATCATTCATTCAACTGACCTTTGTCATTGGCCAGACATAGGACAGAATGGTTCTGCATCTGGGGAACACCACTGAAGTAAAAGAAAAATCTCTGGCCTTTTGTGGCATATGTTCCAGTGGGAAGAGGCAGACGATAGATACACTATAACCAGAGTAAGGAAGGAAAGTGCTAGAAGGTGGTAAGTGCTGTGAGGCAGGTGATCCAGGATGTGGGCAGTGGGGACAGGGAAGGTGGCTGTTGTGCTGGGTAGTCAGTGTGTGCCTTGTTGCAAAGGTGACTTTTGAGGAAAGATTTGAGAGACATGAGGATGTCTGGGGAAGTTCTTTCCAGGCAGAGGAAGCTCCAGTCCAAATGCACTATGGCAGGAAGGTGTTTGTGTTCCCAGAAGAGCAAGGAGGCCAGGAGGGCTGGACGGAGAGAAACTGAGGTGAGGTCAGAGGTGCGGCCAGAACAGGTGGGCTTGAGGGGAGTGGGGTTGGATCTGGCCTTTGCTCTGAGTGGGATGGGGAGTTAGAGGACAGTTTTGAGCAGAAGAGAGCCATGATATGACTTCTGTTTTAAAAGGATCTCTCTGACGGCTGTGCTGAGAACAGAATTGAGAGGCAAGGGACGAGGGAGGCAGAAGGGAAAACAGTAGGAATCAAGTGCAGTATTCCAGGCTGGAGATGTCGGTTACCTTGACTGGGGCGTGAGCAGGGGAAATAGTGGGACGTGAGGGGATTCTGGATGCATTTGAAGATGGACTCACAGCATTTGCCAATGGATTGTATCTGTGATGTGAGAAAGACGAATCAAGGACACCCATAGTTGTAAAATGAGTGAGTAGAAGGATGGAGCTGCTGTCAGTGGAGATGGGGAGACTCTGGCAGGAGCGTCCTGAAGAGGGGACATCACAGGCACTCAGTGGAGGAGATGTCTACTAGGAGGGCGGGTGGGGGAGCTGGGTGGAATTTGGACAGACAACTCCAGAGTTTAGGGGAAAGGACTGGGCTGGAGAAATAGATTTAGGAGGTCACACCATATATATGAGACTTAAAACCTCAAGCATGGATGAGGCACAAAGGGAGTGACTGACTATGGAAAAGAATGAGCACAAGGACTGAACCCTGGACCTCCAGTTCTAAGGGGTGTGATCAGATCACACCCAGAGCAGACTGCACAGTTCTGGCCCCATGTCTAGAGGACACTCAGACAAGGAAACCCCATGTGCACCAGGATCATCTGGATGTGGTGCTGAGATCCTGGAAGTCTGGAGTTGAGCAAGAGATTCTGGATTTATGACAAGGCTGGAGCTCATGTTGCTGGTCTCCAGATCACACTTGGAGTAGCAAGAACACCAGGATCCCACACGTCTGAGCATCAGCCTCACCTCTAGGGCTTGTCATATAAATGATTCCTTGGTCTTGTGCATAATTCTCTGAGACAAGGGTTCTGGGGAGTGGCCTGTGTATTTTCTAAGTCCCCACCAGCAATCCTATTGCTCAGACAGATTGGGAGCCACTGAGATCAGTGATCAGAGAGTGCCCAGGGTGGGTGGGTGGGGTGGGTTTTCAAACCCTGTTGAAAAGAGGATTTTTCTCACAGAAAGAAAAGGGAGGCTGTATATCATCAGTTATGAGAGGTGATATTCTCTGTTGTTCTCTCCACCATGGGGTAGAGGCCAGGTAGACAATTCAGGATGTGGCTCTCGCACAAAGAACACCTCTGAATGCCGCTCTCTGACACTCGCCCGCAGACTCATTTCTCACTCACTTCTTGGAGAAAACTATGGAAACCAAATTTCTGTAATGTACACATAAAGTTGTATATTGGTATTGGGGGCTAGTTTTATTGTGGGGAAGGCCACAGAACCAGGCTGGAAACTACACATCCAAGAACAGAATTCACAGCCCACCCTGGATCAGGTCCCTCCTAGGAACAACTGCCCCTGCTGCTGAGCACAGACAGCACTGCTCACACCTCTGACATCCTGGTGCTGGACACTGGACCCTGAGGCTAGGACAGATGTCACTGCTGCACCTGGAAATTGGACATCACTACTGTCACTCAGCCATCTTTACTAAAATGCTTTCTGCACAGTCCTAGCCTCTCTGTCACCTCATTCTGGCTGAGTCTGGCAGTGATATAGGAGTTAAGAAGAAATTATTTAGACAGGTAGTGAGGGTACGCAAGGCTTTTAATGGAAAGCAGGCTCCAAATTATTTTCTTTTCTAACAAGGAGCAGCCTGTAATATCAAGCTTCAGACATAGACAAGTAAGCTGGAAGTTTGCACGGGTGAATGCCAGCAGCTGTCCAATAGGAATAGGACGCCTGGGACTGGGCATGTTCACTATGGCGGCTCCATCTTCCCTTCTCTTTGCCAGGCACGTTTATAGTAAGGAGCAGACAACATGTCACCGGCCAAGTGGAAAGCCCATTTGCATAATAGGATGAGGGTGGGGTGAACAGCCTTCCACACGCACTATGTAAATATCACACCTGGTACAACCAACCTGTGGGCCCTACATAAATCAGACACCATCTCCTCAAGCCTGCCTGTAAAATCCGATGCACTCCATTCCAGGCTGGAATTCCCTTTTGGGTGCCCCTCTCTCTCACAAGAAGGAGCTGTTTCCCTTTGTCTTTCTTTTGCCTATTAAACCCTTTGATCCTAACTCACTCCTCGTGTGTCAGTGTCCTTAATCTTCTTGGCGTGAGATGACGAACACTTAGTATTTACCTGAGACAATGACACCTCTTCAGCAGGTGGTCATCAGACTGGTGGAGCTTAAAATTCATGTCCATGATCAACTGCAGGGGTGACTGGAGTGTTGTTGTCCTCTTCCAGGGAGGGAGGTGGTGTCTGTCTCCTCTCAACATTTTACATGTTGTAAACCAAAAATAAACATCAAAGCCACCCCTTCCCAATCATTTTAATGGACACCCTCAGCCAGGGTGCTCAAAAGTTAACCTGAAAGAGTGGCTCAGGCCACCATGGGAAGCAGGTATTGAACATGTCTTATTATGCCCTCTTCCCTCTTGGAATTCAGGAAAAGTTGACCAGCATTTACCATCAACACAGACCTTCAGTCTGATCAGAAACATTTACAATCTATTCTCTTTGAAGCCTGGCACCTGGAGGCGTCATCTGTATGAGAATTTTGGACTCCACAACCTTTTATCATAACCCAGACATTCCTTTCTATTGATAATAACCAATTGCCAATCAGAAAAATTAAAAATCTACTTATAACCCAGAAGCACTACCCCGCAACCCTTGCTTGCTTCAAATTGTTCCAACTTTCTGGACCGAACCAATGTATAGCTTAAATGTATTTGATTGATGTCTCATATCTTCCTTAAATGTGTAAAACCATGTATTTGATTGATGTCTCATATCTTCCTTAAATGTGTAAAACCAACCTGTGCCTCAACCACCTTGAGCACATGTTCTCGGTCTCCTGAGGGCTGTGTCATGGGCTGTGGTCACTCATTTTTGGCTCAGAATAAATCTCTTTAAATATGTTACTGCGTTTGACTCTTTTCATTGACAGTGTGGAATTTTGATGTAGTAAGCGGGTTCAAGTGCTGGAGTGTGAGGGGTGGGGAAAAGTGACAAATTTTAATTCTTGGAGCAGTGATCCAGGACGAGAACTTTATCTAGTACCCAGTAGGCACGAAGAGTGGCTGAATGAACCAGTGACTAATAAATAACATATTTCCACCCATTCCCTTGAGGATAGGTTTACATCAAGTTTTTGTCTATCCCAGTTTATAGTCTAGATTATTGGAGTGGCATTCTGTAATGATGAAATGATTATTCAAACCTCTTCCCTCAGCATGACTCTTACTAGGATTAAAACTCCCAGGTTTGTAAGATATCAGAGGTTCTGGTTCCACACGATGTTTTATATTAATATTTATATTTTCTTGTGTGTGGAAATATTTCTGGGGAGAGAATCTCTAACATTTATTAGTTTTTATGTGACACCCTCAAAGGCCTAAAAAATCCTAACTTCTAGATTAAAGGTAGGACCACTCCACGTCTAGACAATGAACAGCTGGTAGCAACCTGTGTTTAGGGACATGAAACAAATGCTTACATTTGTTTATCTTTTCCTCTGGGACCAAAGAAGGTAGAGGTTTACTTGCTTACTCTTACTATAAGTTTCTCTCTGTGGGATGGTGATGGGGTTTTCTTCCACCCAAATAACTTTCTGATTCTCCAACAGCAGCTGGGAGTCCCACAATTTGACTCAATTCTGACACTAACTACCTGGAGTTCGCCTCAGACTCTACAGGTTTACCAGCTCAGTCCTACAAGTCTGTCCTCACTTCAGAAGCAAGTCACAAGTATCGGGTCCCAGGTTACCTGCACTTCTGTCTAACATGGCTGCAAAGTCAGGGGTTTCTCACCTCCCAAGGATTGAGAATTCTTAAACTAACTCAAAGAACTCAGGAAGTTGCTATAGCCGTGTAAACCAAAAAACGTCTGAGACAGGTCTCAGTCAGTTTAGAAGTTTATTTTGCCAAGCTGAAGACGCACCTTGGAAACAGAGACACAAATCATTGTAGCATCTGTGGCCCATGCTCTTTCCTAACAGGCTTTTGAGGACTTCAATATGTACAGGGGAAAGAGCAGCCAGGAGAGGAAAAAAATAGTCAACTATGCATTCATCTCATGCTCAGTAAATCTGCATTTTAAATAAGATAAAGTAAACATTGGGTGGAAAAGTCAAATATGCGTTTGACTCTGGGTGGGTGGAGGGATGATTTCTAGTCTTGTCTTTGTCCTGTACCTGTGAAGATAAGCTGTTAATTTACATTGTCAGGGGAAAATTCAACAAAACTGTTTTAGGGTAAACACGTTGGGGCCCACAAGGAATTATCTTGTGAGCAGTTTGTGAGGGAGGCCACCTGGGGAGATATGTGGTCTTCTATCTTTGCAGTTATTTGTTTAGGAACGAAAGAAAGGCAGTTTTTCCATCAGTCTCCAAACTTAATTTTTCCTTTTGGTATAGTGAATTTGGAGTCCTGAAATTTTATTTTCTTTTCACACTCAGTATTGCAGTTTTTTATTGTTATAGCTTAAATCCCCACCTTTTTGGCACCTGGGACCGGTTTCATGGAAGACAGTTTTTCCATGGACTAGTGGAGGTGGTGGAGGGCAGAGGGAAATGGTTTCGGATGAAACTGTTGTACCTCAGATGATCAGGCATTAGCGCTTCATAAGGAGCATGCAACCTAGATCTCTCGCATGCAGAGTTCACAATAGGGTTCGTGCTTCTATGAGAATCTAATTCCGCCACTGATCTGACAGGAGGCGGAACTCTGGTGTCATGCTCATGCTCTCTCACCCACTGATCACCTCCTGCTGTGCAGTCTGGTTCCTACCAGGCCAGGAACCTGTACCAGTCCGCAGCCCGGGGGTTAAGGACCCCTGGTTTAAATTATGCCACTAGAGCAGAACTCCTGAGACTGGATAACTTATAACAAACAGAAATTTGTCTCGTTCATGGTGTCGAGGATGAGAATTCCCAGATCAAGGGACTCTATCTGGTAGAAAACAAAAGGACAAGAGAGGGTGAGAGGTGGGGGGAAAAGGAAGTCAAACTCACAGCCTCAGGTCCTTTTATCATGAGCCTTAGTCCATGAATGAAGGCAGAGCTCTGATGGTCCAATCACCTCTCAAAAGTCCCATTTCTTAAAAATGTTGCATTTGGGATGAAATATCCAACAGATGCTTTTTTGGGGGAAACATTCAAACCATAGCAGTTATAAAGGATACCAAGGAGCAGCCAGATGAAGAGGTGCACAGGGTGAGGCCTGGAAGGGCTCTGAGCACAGGAGCCTCTGTCCCCATGGAGATGGGGCTCACCATCCTCCCAGCATGTGGACACACAGATGTGCTCTCCGAAACCCAATCTCCAGAGGTTTCTATGGAAATTTCATTGTGGAGGCAAGACTAATTAAATCACTGGTCATTGTGTGACTGAACTCAACCTCGAACCTCTCTTTCCTTCCCAGACTTTAGGGATGGGGTTAACAGTTCCAATCCTCTAATCACAACTTCGTGTTTCTGGCAACCAGCCCCCATCCTGAAGCTATCTAGGAGCCCCTCACCCCATAGTCATCTCATTGCCATATTGAACTCATGTTTATCACTGAGGAGATTGCAAATGTTTTAGAACCTGGTTGTCAGGAAACAGGGAAAAGACCAAATATTTTTATTGGACCACAGATCACACCCTGGTTTTGACCACATTATCTCTTTTTATAATATTTATTATTTTATTTTAGAGATAATCTCTTGCTCTGTTGCCCAGGGTAGAATGCAGTGGCACAATCATAGCTCACTCTAACCTCGAATTCCTGGACTCAAGTGATCCTTCTGCCTCAGCCTCCTGAGTAGATAGCATTACAGGTGCACACCAACATGCCCAACTAATTTTTAAATATTTTGTAGGAATGGGTCTCACTATTCTGCCCAGTCTGGTCTCAAACTCCTGGACTTAAACAATGTTCCTACCATTGCCTCCCAAACTGATGGAATTATAAGTGTGAGCCACTGTGCCTGGCCAATCACAGATCTCCTACACCAGAAGAATCATAACAGTGAAAAGATCCTGGCACATTACCAGAATCCTCTTTGGTCATTAACAATGATCCCAGTGCAATCCATAAACAGGAATAGTTTCAGCAACATATGGCTGCACCCTTTCAGGCGTCTGGTAAAATTGAGCTAAGAGACAATATCATCTCTTGCTTATACCTTTTTCAAGTAGTTCATGTAACATTGGATTTTCCTCATTACATAACCCATTTATTCATTCATTTACCCTCAGCTACTATTTCTCCTTCCCTTCATTTATACTAAACATTTATAATTTTGGAAGGAACACTAGCTTCTGCTGCTGTGCTGGCTGAGACTGCAGGGACCAATAGAGTTCTAGCAAGTGTCTCCCGTCATCCATTCCAGTTCATAGAGGGTAGGGTTATACAGGTAGAGAACTGGTTGGCTATCTGATCCCAGGCAATATAGCTGCATTCAGTGTTAGCCCCAACTTTGCCAGATGCAGTGAAGGCACAACCTACTTCTACAGGCCCTTAGGAATTATTACATAATGGACATAAAATATATTTACAGTTTCTTGCTTAGGAATAATTCCTGTTTCTGAACTCTATTTGCATCCCTAGTCCTGGGACCACTGCATCAGGTATGAGAAAAGCAAGTTGAGGTGAATTACAGTCATCATTCCAGTGTCCTCCCACCTTGGGGAGGAATATATGTAGATCATACCAGCACCTTCCCCTGATCCACCAGGAAAAGAGAGGATACTCTCATGTCAAGTGTGAGCACACTCATGAAGGTGTATAAGCCCACCCTTTGTGCTTGTTTCCCCACTCTTTCCTTTACACACCCAATTGACTATTTTAATTCTCTATGGAACTCTTCCTCTGAGGAGGATATCTCTCTGTGACCATTGTTGGACATTTTGAGCAGGTGCATTTTCTGGTGTAAAGAAATATGACTCGGTGGTCCACGTGGTTGCAGTACCTCCCATTCAAGTTCTTTTGTAACACTCGAGCATTTGCATCTGAGATAAAGCAGGGACCTCTTTTAGAAGCCTGCCGGGGCCTCCCAATCTGGAAATAAAGAAAAACCTTCAGTTCCTTCAAGAGAAATTCCAGGCACCTAGCCAGCCCTAAAAAGTAAGTCGGTGACCTTATAAGCAAGAAGGAATGATAGCTTGAAACAATAGCCAAGGAAGTTAGAGTCACAAGATGTTTCATTCTCTATAGAAACTAAAAATAACATCTTAACATATGTCCCTGAGTTGTTTTTCAGAAACATGGATTCCCTCCTAATAGATCCACTGACAGGGAGACCTTATAAAGGGGAAACTGAGAACTGAACTCTGACCGCCGTTCTTTGTTCTAAATTTCTTCCTGAGGGACCTGGAGAGAGTCAAGCCCACAGGCCAGGCCTGAACATTCCTCTCTACTGCCCCCAACTGTGTAAGGAAGCTGTGTAAAGAAGCTTTGCTTCCTTATCTATCACAAATCAGAGAATCTTTAAATCTACCTAAGACCTGTAAGCTCCCTCATCAGGATATTCTACCTTTTAAGGCCAAAGCAGTGTAACTTGTATGCATTGATTTATGATGTTGCCTGTAACTCTGCTTTCCCGAAATTTGCCCCTGCCTTTAAAAATTCTTGCTTGTGAGCCATCAAAAAGTTGGGTCTTAAGCGTGAGCTGCCTGATTCTCCTTGTTTGGCGCCCTACACATAAATGCCCTCCTTTGTCCCACTACAATCTCAGTGTGGATGTTTGCTTTTACTGCCCCAGGTGAGTGGACCCCAGTTCAGTTTGGTAACACACCTACCACCAGCTGAACAAAGCCCACTCCAGGGTGAGGATCTATTCCTGCCAAGACCCGTTTGCTGCTTCCTGGGGCTACTGGTATCAGTCTAACTTGCCAGCTATGTATTTTCAAGGCCCTCCCATAAAAGAATCTGCCACATAGCCATATGCTATCTCTCTTTTTTTTTGTTAAAGAAAGGACTTCTTATGTGTATTTTGTGCCTGTGATGTGTGGAATGCAAGAGGACTATGTCTTGATTCCACCTATCTCTGCATTGCTACAGCCCCAATGTCTACTTATTTCATGGACTCAGGTGATCACCACAAGCAAACCTGGATTTTTTGTTGTTGTTGTTTTTGAGATGTGGTCTTGATATGTTTCCCTGGCTGGCCTCAAATGTTGCTCAGGTTAAACTCTAACTCCTGGACTCAAGATATCCTTCTGCCTCAGCCGCTCTCATAGCTGGAATTACAAGTGCACCTGGCAAACACTTGGAGATAAATTCTTGTTGATTTCAATCACTTTCCAAACCTGAAAGGGAGTTATTCTGAAGGACACTGAACAGCACTGAGGGGACGGTGCTAAACCATTCATGAGAAACTGACCTCGTGATCCAACCACCTCCCTCCCTCCAGGCCCCACCTATAATGCTGGGGATCACATCTCGACATGAGATCTGCACAAGAACAACATCCAATCTATATCAGGCATCAACAGATCTTACATTAATGAACCCCTCAAATTACCATAGTGATTTCTGTGGGACTTGGCTCATATGGGCATTCTTTTCATAGGCAAGTTTTTCATTGCTTTCCTGATTAATTATACGGCCAGGCCATTAGTCACTCCCTGTAAGTCAGTAAAAACTAAAACGTAGGAGCTTTATCATTGTTCAATTCTTCCACCACTGCTAAGAAAACACCATGCAATTAAGTCCACAACAGCTTTTCTGTTTTTACCTTCTTTGATCAAAGAGGTGGACTTCCAAACAGTATGTTGTCCATTCATCTTGCAAATGCTGTACACAAACCAACCAGCTGTTAGTGGGTCAGTTGACTGATACTGCAGTTCAAATCCCAGCGCTGTCTGCTACAGAGTTCCATCTTGCTCAAGAGAGGTCAGTGTTTTGTTTAATTTACACCTTCAGTGAATTGAATGAAGCCCACTCACATTATAGACATTAATCTACTTTATTCAAAGTCTGGCTATTTATGTGTTAATCTCATCCAACAAACATCCTCACAAATCATCCAGAATAATGCTTGACCACCTCTCCAGGCACGATGCTTTACCCAAGATGACCAATAAATTTTTTTTTATTATTATACTTTAAGTTCTAGGGTACATGTGTACAACGTGCAGGTTTGTTACATATGTATACATGTGCCATGTTGGTCTGCTGCACCTGTTAACTCATTATTTACATTAGGTATTTCTCCTAGTACTATCCCTCCCCACTGCCCCCACCCCACGACAGGCCCCGGTGTGTGATGTTCCCCCCTGTGTCCAAGTGTTCTCATTGTTCAATTCCCACCTATGAGTGAGAACATGCGGTGTTTGGTTTTCTGTCCTTGTGATAGTTTGAACAATGAGAACACTTGGACACTTGTGATAGTTTGCTCAGAATGATGGTTTCCAGCTTCATCCACGTCCCTGCAAAGGACATGAACTCATCCTTTTTATGGCTGCATAGTATTCCATGGTGTATATGTGACACATTTTCTTTTTTTTTTTTTTTTTGAGATGGAGTCTCGCTCTGTCGCCCAGCACCTGTTGTTTCCTGACTTTTTAATGATCGCCATTCTTACTGGTGTGAGATGGGATACCATTGTGGTTTTGATTTGCATTTCTCTGATGGCCAGTGATGATGAGCATTTTTTCATGTGTCTGTTGGCTGCATAAATGTCTTCTTTGGAGAAGTGTCTGTTCATATCCTTTGCCCACTTTTTGATGGGGTTGTTTGATTTTTTCTTGTAAATTTGTTTGAGTTCCTTGTAGATTCTGGATATTAGCCCTTTGTTAGATGGGTAGATTGTAAATATTTTCTCCCATTTTGTAGGTTGCCTGTTCACTGTGATGGTAGTTTCTTTTGCAGTGCAGAAGCTCTTTAGTTTAATTAGATCCCATTTGTCAATTTTGGTTTTTGATGCCATTGCTTTTGGTGTTTTAGTCATGAAGTCCTTGCCCATGCCTATGGCCTGAAAGGTATTGCCTAGGTTTTCTTCTAGGGTTTTTATGGTTTTAGGGATGATCAGTAAAATTAATTATGACATTCTTCAATATAAGAATACTCTGAGGAAATTAGCCTGTGATCTAATAAAACAAGGAGCAAACAACTGTTTCTAAAAATTTATAACAAATAGTCAAAAAGCCCTCGCTAGAGATTGTTTCTCACATTCACTCTATAATTCTGGGTAAAAAAAAAAGCACGTATTTGTTGAAAACCACAGAAGAAGAGAAAATTGAAAAAGCAGAAAGTGAAAAAAATAAGAATAATAATAAAGATGACAGCAGTTATTTCATTGGAAACAATGCAAATGAGGAGACAGATGAGCAACATCTTTAGAGTCCTAAAAGGAAAATGCTGTGAAACTAGATTCTATTCCCAGAAAATAATACCTTTTTCAAATATATATGTATAGTTTTAATTGACAAAGTATAATACATTCATGAGATATTGTTTGATGTATTGATATATGTGTACCCTATGTAATGATTAAATTAAGCTAACACACCTTGAATATATCTATCAAAAAATAAAGGGATTTTAGGCCAGGCATGGTGGCTCATGTCTGTCATCCCAACACTTTGGGAGGCCAAGGTAGGTAGATCACGAAGTCAGGAGTCAAAACCAGCCTGACCAACATGGTGAAACCTCGTCTCTACTAAAAATACAAAAATTAGCTAGGCATGGTGGCATGCTCCTGTAATTCCCAGCTACTCAGGAGGCTGAGGCAGGAGAATCACTTGAACATGGGAGGCGGAGGTTGCAGTAGGCCAATATCACACCATTGCACTCCAGCCTGGGCAGTAGAGTGAGACTCTGTCTCAAAAATAAACAAACAAACAAACAAACAAACAAACAAATGGATTTTAGACATACAGGGAGTGAAAAAATAACCAGCAGACCTAAACTATAATAAATGTTTCAGTCCTATAGGCAAAAAGAAATTAAGGGACTAGTTGGCACAGCATTTAACGATGAAGAGACAGCTTCATCGCCCCCTCCCACTGAGACAGAGAACACAGCCCCAGGGCCTGGGAATTCCTCAACCCAATCCACCACCTTGGGCACCTGTGCACTCCTCCTGGGTACCTGAGGTTGGATGCAATCACCTTAGCTATCACCTACCTGCAAACACCACCTATGGGCATCCCACCCAGCCTATCGCATCTGCTGCTAACAATGCACACTGCTTGGGACCCAGAGAAGCAGCCCACGACTGCCACTGCCAAGCTGGTTGCCCAGGAGCTGAAGTCCCCAGCACCTACCGAGTCAACCACTGCCACTACTGCCATCCAAGCAAGCCACCTGGAGGTCCAGGAATCAGCCCACCAGTAACCACCAATACAAATGCCAGTATATACCACCTTGGGGCACAAAGATAGGAACACTCAGCACACCACTGCCACCACTGGAGCCTGAAGACTGTCTCATGTGGCATCCCAGTCCCCAGCACATTTTCACCACAGCCTCACTAATAACCACACCCTAATGCACAGAAGAAATCACAGATACCATTAACACTGTCTACAGCCAAAGAAATTATACAGAGACCATAGTACTCTACTATGTACTACACCCAGAATCAAATCCAAAGTACCCCAGGCAACCAACACCATAGACTCATCTTCAGGAAAATGCTCTCCACTATGAAACAAAATTCAAAAATAGGAAGAACTGACTGTTATATCAGATGCAAAAATATTAATGTTAGGACACAGAAACATGAAAAAGCAAAAAAGAAAAAAAAAGCCGCAAAGGAAGACAATAGATCTTAATCAAAAAGAAATTTTCAAGATTCTAGATAAAGGACTCAAAACATTTATTTTACAGAAGTTCAGTGAGATACAAAAGAATTCTGAAAAAAAAAATACAAAGAAAACATAAAAATAATTCAGGATACAAATAAGAAGTTTACAAAAGATATAGATTTAAAAAAAAACAACAGAAATTCTGGAATTAAAGAATACATGACATGAAATTCCAAATACATTTGAAAGCTTCAACAATATACTAGGTCAGGCAGAAGGAAGAATTCCAAAACTTGAAGATATACATTGTGAAATAATTCAATAAGACAAAAACACACACAAAAAAAGAATGAGCAAAGCCTTTGTGACATTTGGTACAATATAAACAACCAAATATTCAAATTATTGGTATCCTCAAGAGCGAAGAGACAAAGAACAGATTAGAAAACCTATTTAATGAAAGAATAGATGAATAATTCCCAACTCTAGCAAGTGATTTAGACATTCAGATACAAAATATTCAACAATTCTGAGAAAAATACAATGCAAAAAGTTCCTCTCCATGGCATATAATCAGACTTTCTATAGTATAAGGTAAAATGCAAATCCTAAAAATAGCAAGAGGAAAGTGTTTAGTCACCTATAAAGGAAACCCCATCAGACTAACAGCAGATTTCTTTTTCTTTTTTCTTTCTTTTTTTTTTTTTTGAGACGGAGTCTCGCTGTGCTGCCAGGCTGGAGTGCAGTGGCGTGATCTCGGTTCACTGCAACCTCTGCCCCCTGGGTTCAGGTGATTCTCCTCCCTCAGCCTCCCAAGTAGCTGGGATGACAGGCACATGCCACCACACACAGCTAATTTTTTTTTTTTTGTATTTTTAGTAGAGACAGGATTTCACCAAGTTGGCCAGGATGGTCTCAATCTCTTGACATCATGATCCGCCCACCTCAGCCTCCCAAAGTGCTGGGATTACAGGTGTGAGCCACTGTGCCCAGCTCTAACAGCAGATTTCTTGCAGAAATCTTACAGGCCAGAAGAGAATAGGATAGCATAATCAAAGTCCTGAAAGAAAAGAACTGCCAAGCCAAGAGTAATAAACCAAACATAAATTATTCTTCATAATTGAAAAAGAAATTATCTTTCCAAGACAAGCAAATGCTGAAAGGCTTCATTACCACTAGACAGGGCCTACAGGAAATGCTCAAGAAAGTCCTAAACCTGGAATTGAAAGGACAACATTTTCAACATTTCCACATTATCACCATGAGAACATACACAAGTATAAAACTCACTGGTAAAGCAATCACACAAAAGAGGAAGAGAAAGTTCTCAGATGGTCCTACTACAGAAATCCACCAAAGCATAATGACAAGCAATAAGAGAAAAAGACAATAACAAAAGACATATAAAACAACCAGAGAACAACAATGTGAAAGGAACAAAGCTGTTGGGAACAGGACCCCAAAAATCTGGCCATAAACTGGCCCCAAAACTGGCCATAAACAAAATCTCTGCAGCACTGTGACATGTTAATGATGGCCATGACGCCCACACTGGAAGGTTGTGGGTTTACCAGAATGAGGGCAAGGAACACCTGGCCCACTCAGGGCAGAAAACTGCTTCAAGTTGTTCTTCAACCACCAACAATAGCATGAGCGATCTGTGCCTTAAAGACATGCTCCTGCTGCAGATAACTAGCCAAACCTATCCTTTTATTTTGGCCCATCCCTTTGTTTCCCATAAGGAATACTTTTAGTTAATCTATAATCTATAGAAACAATGCTTATCACTGGCTTGAGTTAATAAATACGGGGGTAAATCTCTATTCGAGGCTGTCAGCTCTGAAGGCTGGGAGACCCCTGATTTCCCACTTCACACCTGTATATTTCTGTGTGTGTGTCTTTAATTTCTCTAGCGCCGCTGGGTTAGGGTCTCCCCAGCTGAGTTGGTCTCAGCACAAAGCCTCACATATTAATAAAAATCTGGAATGTAAACAGATTAAATTCTCCACTTATAAGATGTAGAATGGCTGAATGGGTAGAAAACATGATCTAACTACATTCTGCTTACAAAAAAACTCACTGGTAATACCACCTCACCACAATCATAGAGACAGAAGGTAAAAGAATGGCAACAGGTTATCTATCGAAACCAAAAGTGAGCAGGAGTAGCTATACTTATAGCAGATAAAATAAACTGTAAGTCAAGAACAATTTTTTTAAAAGATAAGGAAGGCCATCACATAATCATAAAGAGATCCATCCAAGAAGAGAATAGAACAATTCTAAATATATATGCACTAAACATTGGAGCACTAGATTCATAAAACAAATATTACTACATCTAACAAGAGAGATAGACTCCAATACAATAATAGTGGGGGACTTCAACATCCCAACCTCAGCATAAGACAGATCACCTACACAGAAAATCAAGAAAGAAACATTGGATTTAAACTGAATTTTACACCAAATAAAGCTAACAGATATTTACAGAGCATTCTGTCTAACACTACAGAATATACACTCTTTTCATGAACACATGGAACATTTTCCAGGAGAGAGCCTATGTTAAGCCACAAAACAAGTCTCAACAAATTTTCAAAAATTGAAATCATATTAAATATCTTCTCTGGCCACAATGGAATAAAACTAGAAATATACACCAAGAGAAATGTTGGCAACAAGACCAATACATGGAAATTAAACAACCTGCTCCTGAATAACCATTGAGTCAACAGAGAAATTAAGATGTAAATCAAAAAGTTTCTTGAAATAAATGAAAATGGAAACACAACATACCAAAACCTGTGCGATACAGCTAAACAGGGCTAAAAGGGAGGTTTATAGCAATAAATACCCACCTAAGAAAAGTAGAAACATTACAAATTAACAATATAACAATGAACCTCATGGAACCAGAAAAGCAAGAAAAAAAATATACAAAATTAGCAGAAAAGAAATAATAAAGATCATAGTAGAAATAAAGACTTTTAAAAACCATGTAAATGATCAACAAAGTGAAAAGTTTGTTCTTCAAAAACATAAACAAAATTGATAAACCACTAGCTAAACAAACCCAGAAAAAAAGAGAGAAAATTTATTAAGAATAAAAGTTCCTCTTCAAAGTTTTCCTTTTTGGTTTAGAATGATAAGTCTTAAGAAGATAGTTCCTCTTAAAAGCTTCCTTTAAGTTTCCCTCGCTCTTCATACTAACAAATCTTCTATTTTACTAATGACTCTTTATTGTGCCCCAAAGGAGTTGTTACATACAGTAAACAAATAAACACATTCTATGTTCTTGTACTTGAACCAAGGCCTAACTCCTTTGTTCCCTAGTCTGCCTGGATCTGCCTGGACACGCCCAGACATGTCACAGCTTGCAGCCTATGCTCTTTCCTTATTTGGAAATATTATTGTCTTCCTGGTTTCCCATAAGCGACCCCCTCCTTTCCTTGGTTCCCCATTGCGCCTTTACCTTATTTGGGAAAGTTTAAGTTTTTAGCCAACTGGGATCAGTTTAGATTGTGTGGTCCAGTTCCAGCCAATGGAGACAGGACACAATAGTAGAAACAAATTGCGTTAGGAATAAAAACCCCTGCTTTCCTTTGTTCTGGTTGCTCTCGTGGCAATCAGGCTTACAGGTAGCAGCCTTCTGCAGAAGTAAAAATTGCCTTGCTGAGAAATCCTTTGATCAAGTGTTCATTTCCTTTGTGACTCCAAGCTTTATTTCTAACTATTTTATGGGGGCTCTTCCAGGATTCCCATTCTCCTATGGGAAGGGGTCTTTGGTCACCCCATCTAGGGGAGGTGTACCCCACTGCAGTGGCCCCAGGGACGGGAGATTGAGACTACCCATTGTGATGAATAAATTCAGGCTCTCAGCAATGTGGAAGGAGAAGGCCCACAAGTACCACGATGACCAGCTAACTCTGTGCAGAGACCAAGGTAAAAAAAGTCACAAGGGCAACAGTATTTCCTTGGTGGTCGGGATATTCTGGAGGTTAAAGGGTGTGAAAGGTAACAAGCACTACTGCTGTGCAGAGTGAGTGAGTTCAATCTGTGGTTCCGTGGTCACCTCATGTGGCTTATGATGGCCCTCTTGTAGGGATCCTGACATTGGGGTTCATACAGTCCTGCTGATGCTAAGGGGAGCCTAATTTCCTCTGGGAAAGCAGCCAGAGTGGATGAAGCAAAAGGAGAAGATTGCAAGAAACCTCCAGGGTGGGGGTTAAACCTCCAGGGAAGGATAGGCAAGAAATCTCTAGTTCGAGGGACTGAGCCTAACCAGTATTCAACATGGGAAATACCCTGAGTAAGACAGAAGGTAAAAAGGAAAAGGCAAACAGTGAAATCACCTCTGATAGTCCTTTAGGACTCATGTTAAAATATTGGAAGGATACAAGAGGACTAAACATAAGAAAAAGCAACAGATGATAAAGTATTATTGTTTCATTTGGACCAAGGAACCTATTCTAAAGCCTTCAGTTTTCTGGCCAAAATTCGGGTCAAATGAGGCTTGGACTTGCCAACTTTTAATAGAATGTGTAAATGATAAGAGTCCTGTTTCCCAGGAGGAAATACATTATGCTCTGTGTTGGCAGCAAGGGCCCATCCTCCTTTGTCATCTAAAAACCAAAGGAGACAAGCCAGAAACTACTTCTCATGAAATTAATACCCCTTACTCCAAGAACCCCACCAACACGTGGGACGCCTTAGACCATCTTCCCCCAACAAAACTTCTTCCCCCCACCCAGTAGACCAACATCCCCCACCTCCCCCTTCAGTAGAAATAACAGTCCCAGACCTTTCCCCTACTCAGACATTTTTTCCCTCCTTTTAACCCTGATTCTTGGGGTCATCCCCAGCTTGAATGCCCTCCCTCAGGAAGACTTCAACGTGAGTTAGAACAATGTAAAAATGATATCCAAAACTTCCCTTTTCCCCCTTCCTCTAGGGGTTTGGCTACAAACCTCTTCCCACTGAGGGAAGTGCCTCTAGGAGGAGCAGGCATTGGCTTTTTAAATGCTCCCCTGACCAGTTCGGAAGTCCAGAGCTTGAAGAGGGAACTCAAGCCACTCTTAGATGATCCCTATGGAGTGGCAGATCAAATTGATCAATTTTTAGCACCCCAGTTGTATACTGTGGCTGAGTTTATGTCCATCATAGGCATCCTTTTTTCAGGGGAAGAAAGGAGCATGATGCATAGGGCCGCTATGACCATTTGGGAGTGTGAGCATCCTCCCGGTCAAAACGTCCCTGCAGCCAAACAGAAATTTCCTGCTCAAGATCCCCAGTGGGATAACAACAACATAGCTCATAGGAGGAATATGAGAGACCTGCAAGAAATGATAATAAAAGGAATTAGATAATCAGTACCCTGCACCCAGAATATGACCAAAGCTTTTAATATACAGCAAGGAAAAGAAGAGGGGCCTATGGAATATTTTAATAGGCTTAAGGAACAAATGAGGAAATATGCTGGTTTAGATGGAGGAGACCCACTTGGACAAGGAATGTTAAAAGCTTCACTTTGTCACAAATAGCTGGCCAGACGTTACCAAGAAATTACAAAAGATAGAAAATTGAAAGGACTGTCCCATAAAGGAACTCTTAAGGGAGGCCCAAAAGGTGTATGTACGAAGGGATGAAGAAAAGCAAAAGCACAAGGCAAAGATTATGCTGTTCTTAAAGCAGGGAACTCCCCAATAGACAGCTCAAAGAAATATCGCCGGTAAATCTTTTAGGTACCCGACTGCCAGACTCTATAATGGAGGTAAAGGAATCAAACCAGGGAACAAGGGAATAAAAAGAGGAATAGGGCAGAATAAATGCTTCAAATGTGGGAAGGAAGGTCACTTTAAAGAGAATGCCCTGAATGGAAAAAAGAAAAAGAAATCACCCACTTATGATCTTTGAGGAGGAATGGGGGGCCAGGGGCTCTACTCTTTTTACCTCGAGTCCCACCAAGACTCCTTGATAAATTTAGAGGTGGGACCCAGACCTTTTTAATTGACTCAGGAGCTGCTGATTCCTCAGTTTGTTATCTTCCCCCTGGTGTAACTTGGTCACAAGAAGAACTTTTTATTTTGGGAGCAAAAGGGGAGGGGTTTAAAGCAAAAGTCTTAGAAGAAACAAAAATTAAATATCAGAACCACTCAGTAAATATTAAACTTCTGTTAATCCTGGAGGCAGGAACAAACCTATTAGGAAGAGATTTAATGCTAAAATTAAACCTAGGCCTTTGTGTTAATCAAGGAAATCTCCTCCCCTCCTTAAATTTGCTTGCTACTCTAAATGAGGGATACATCCATCCAGATGTATGGTCAAAGGAAGGAAACTGAGGAAAGTTACAAATTTCCCCAATCCAAGTTAAATTGAAAAACCTGGGGCAAGAGGTAAAAAGAAAACAATATCCAATTCCCTTAGAAGCTAAGATCAATTTAAAGCCCACAATAGAAAGCCTTCTCCATGGTGGACTCATTGAACCCTGTATGTCTCCTTATAACACTCCCATACTGCCTGTGAAAAAGCCAGAGGGGTCATATCGGCTAGTGCAAGATCTTCGATCTATTAATCAAATAGTTCAAACAACTCACTCTGTCGATCCTAATCCTTATGCTATTATTAGTAAAATTCCTTACAACCATGAGTGGTTCACAGTAATAGATCTAAAGGATGCCTTCTGGGCTTGCCCACTAGCAAAGATAGACTTTGAATGGGAGGACCCTCACTCTGGTTGAAAATAACAGTATCGATGGACAGTTTTGCCCCAGGGATTTACAGAATCTCCAAATTTGTTTGGTCAAATACTAGAACAGATCATAGAAAAGTTTTACAAACCACCATATATATGCCTGCTCCAATACATGGATAATATCCTTATTTCAGGGGAGGATAGACAAAAAGTAGAAGGATTTTCAATAGGTTTTTTAAAAATAATTTGCAACTGGAGGGGTTATGAGTGTCAAAAAAGCAAACTTCGGTTTGTAGAACCTGAAGTCAAGTATTTAGGGGACTTAATCAGTAAGGGCAAATGGAGAATTGGATTTGAATGGATTGAAGGCATCATATCCTTCATATGATATCCTGAGACAAAGAAGGAACTTAGAAAGTTTTTAGGGTTAGTAGGGTATTGTTGCTTATAGAGAGACTCTTATGCTTTAGTAACCAAACCTCTACATAAAAAAAACTTACACAGGATGAATTGGACCCCCTTATATGGTTTTACAAGAAATACAGCAGATAAAAAAATTAAAAGAGTTACTAGTGACAGCCCATGTTCTAGCCTTACCCTCTTTAGAATTGCCCTTTCATCTTTTTGTTAATGTAGGTAATGAAGTAGCCTTAGGGGTACTTACTCAAACACACGGAGGCCATTGGCAACCCATAGCCTTCTTGTCAAAAATTCTTCACCCAGTAGCCCATGGATGGCCCGAGTGTGTCCCATCAGTGGCAGCAACAGCCTTGCTCATAGAGGAGAGCAGAAAATTAACCTTTGGGGAAATCTTATCATTAGTACTCCTCAACAAGTGAGAACAATTCTCAATCAGAAGGCAGGAAGGTGGCTTATTGATTCAAGAATTTTAAAGTATGAAGCCATCTTGTTAGAAAGAGATGATCTAATCTTAACCACTGATGACTCAATTAATCCAGCTGCTTTCTTAACAGGAAACCCCAACCCACAGACCCCTGATCTTTGCCCAGAGCACAGATGTTTAGATTTAATTAGTTATCAAACAGAAGTTAGACCTGATCTAAATGAAACACCCTTTCATACTGGGAAACACCTGTTTGTAGATGGTTCCTCCCGAGTAATCAAAGGAAAAAGGCATAACGAGTATTCAACGATAGATGGAGATACCCTCACAGAAATAGAGTCTGAAAGGTTACCAAATGACTGGTCTGCACAAACATGTGAGTTGTTCACATTAAATCAGGCCTTAAAATTTCTGCAAATCAAGAAGCAACAATCTATACAGACTCCAGGTATGCCTTTGGAGTAGTCCATACTTTTGAAAAAATTTGGACTGAGCGGGGCCTCATTAACAGCAAAGGTCAAATTTTAGACCATAGGGACCTAATAATACAAGTACTAGAAAATTTACAATTGCCAAAAGAAATAGCTGTTGTACATGTCCCACGACATCAAAGGAATCCTTTATTTGAAGGCCAGGGAAATAATCTCACTGACCAAATAGCCAAGCAAGCTGCCTCTTCTCCAGCAGAACCCATTTTTCGACTAACCCCTTGTCTTCCATCTTCAGCTGCACTCCCTATCTTCTCTCAAGCAGATCAGGAAAAACTGAAAAAAATAGGAGCTGAAGAAAACTCAAAAGGAAAGTGGGTATTACCAGATGGAAGGGAAATGTTACCCAAACCTTATGAGGGAAATATTGTCACAGCTTCATCAAGGATGTCACTGGGGTCCTCAAACCATGTGTGATGCAGTCCTTAGGGTTTATGGGTGCATAAGAATATACACCCTCGCCAAGCAAATGGTGGAAAGTTATATACTGTGCAGAAAACCTAATAAGCAGACCCTCAAAAGACAACCTCCCGGAGGGAGAAATCCTGGGTTAAGGCGATTTCAAAGTGTCCAAGTTGACTCTACTGAAATGCCCCCAGTAGGCCGCCTTAAGTATTTACCGGTAATAGTAGATCATCTTACCCACTGGGTAGAAGCCATCCCCTTTCCAAGTTCAACAGCCAGTAATGTGGTCAAAGCTCTGTTAGAACATATCATACCCAGGTTTGGAATAATAGAGAACATTGATTCAGATAATGGGACCCAATTTACCGTGTACATTATTAAAAGACTAATCCAAGTATTAGGGATAAAATGGGAATATCATACTTCCTGGCCTCCACCTTCATCTGGGAGAGTAGAAAGAATGAATCAAACTTTAAAGAGTCATCTAACCAAATTAATTTTAGAAACTCGCCTACCATGGACAAAATCTCTTCCCATTGCTTTACTAAGAATCCAAACTTCTCCTCGGAGGGATCTTGGCTTGTCTCCTTATGAAATGCTTTATGGGTTACCTTATCTAAACACTACTACTGACCTTCCTATGATCGAAACAAAAGATCAGTTCCTTAGAAATTATGTATTTGGTCTGTCTTCCACTCTTTCGTCCCTCAGGACTCAAGGTCTGGTAGCACAGACTCCACCCCTTGAATTCTGGGCCCACCAACATCAACCCGGAGATCACACGTCCTTATCAAAGGCTGAAAAGAGGGAAAGCTTGAGCCTACCTGGGAAGGACCCTATCTGGTGCTCACAACAACTGAAACAGTAGTTCGGACCACTGAGAAAGGGTGGACCCATTATACTCGAGTCAAGTAGGCGTCACCTTCTCCAGAGACATGGACCATTATTCCGTCAACTCCCACCAGAGTAACGATAAAAAGAAAAACTTAATCTATCTCTTTTTCTTCTTTTCTTTCCCTTAACTGCCCCCATCTCATCATTAATGTAACTAGATCAAGTTTGCCCAAAATTATTACCTTTGATGCTTCTCTAGTCATGCCTTGTGGAAATTTACAGGACCAAAGACAGCTTACTGCCTCAGATAAATATCTTTGTCCCTCTTGAACTTCCTCAGATTGGAAAGATATAACAAATTCTTGTAAAGATCATGATAACCCCAAAAATAGTAGCTGTATGAACTGGTGGGAATGGGACTCTTGTCCCCTTAAAACAGAGTCCCTATGCTATACTTGGTCTAATGTCCTATGGAACACCAAAGGTCCAGGCTGGACTGCTCCCACCAGTCTTTGCCAGTCCTTAAAGCCATATATCCATTTTACAAAAGGGATTGCCTCTTCTAATTGTCCATATAACCAGTGTAATCCTATTCGGCTTACTATTACTATTGCAACATCCCAAAACTCTTTCCCTTCATTAAGTCATATTTATAGCATAGGGGCCAACATCTTGGGAAAGGATCCTAGGGGAATTTTTGAAATCTGCTTTATTGCCCCTTCCACCTCTCTAACACATCTTCCTCAAACCATCACCCCACCTATACCCAGTGACAAAACCAAAGTAGCTATAGTAGAAGTAAAAGACCTGAGGTAAACTCTAGCCACTGAAACAGGGTCTCAGGATGCAAATGCCTGGCTGGAATGGATTAAATATTCCATCCACACTCAAAATAAGAGCGATTGTTATGCTTGGGCACAGGGCAGACCAGAGGCCCAAACTGTCCCCTTTCCACTCAGATGGTCTTGTAATAGACCAGATATGGACTGCATGGTAGCTCTGCTCCAAGACCTCACAGCCTGGGGTAATAAATCGTGTCAAAGACTTTCTTTGCTGTTCCCTGAGGTTCAGCACTCTGCGGATCAGCCCCCAAAGGCCATTCAGCCTCCATCTTCTGGGACCAAATTTGCTTTGTGTCTCTCACAACAGGGAGAAAACTTGGCTTTCCTTGGAAACCTGACAGGATGCAGTGAGGTCAAGCACTTCCAAGAGCTAACCCATCAGTCCTCCCTTATCCATCCCCGAGCAGATGTATGGTGGTATTGTGGTGGACCTTTGTGGGAGACTCTGCCAAATAACTGGAGTGGTACTTGCACTCTAATTCAATTGGCTATCTCTTTCACCCTGACATTTCATTCACAAAAATATTAACAACTAGGCATCGTAGTACAAGAACTGTTCCTGTGAGTCTTTTGATCCCAACGTTTATATAGATGCTATTGGAGTACCAGATGAATTTAAAGCTTGAAACCAAATAGCTGCAGAATTTAAGTCATTATTCAGGTGGGTGACTATCAATAAAAATATAGATTGGATAGCCAGGCGCAGTGGCTCACGTCTGTAATCGCAGCACTTTGGGAGGCCAAGGCGGGCAGATCACGAGGTCAGGAGTTTGAGACCAGCCTGACCAACATAGTGAAACCCTGTTTCTACTAAAAATACAAAAATTAGCTGAGTGTGGTGGCACGCACCTGTAATCCCAGCTACTCAGGAGAGTCACTTCAACCTGGGAGTTGGAGGTTGCAGTGAGCCGAGATCACACCACTGCACTCCAGCCTGGGCGACAGACTGAGACTCCATCTCGAAAAAAAAAATGTAGGTTGGGTAAATTATATTTACTACAATCAGCAATGATTCATTTTTTTTTAATTAATTTATTTTTTTTTAGTATTTATTGATCATTCTTGGGTGTTTCTTGGAGAGGGGGATTTGGCAGGGTCATAGGACAATAGTGGAGGGAAGGTCAGCAGATAAACATGTGAACAAGGGTCTCTGGTTTTCCTAGACAGAGGACCCTGCGGCCTTCCGCAGTGTTTGTGTCCCTGGGTACTTGAGATTAGGGAGTGGTGATGACTCTTAATGAGCATGCTGCCTTCAAGCATCTGTTTAACAAAGCACATCTTGCACCGCCCTTAATCCATTTAACCCTGAGTGGACACAGCACATGTTTCAGAGAGCACGGGGTTGGGGGTAAGGTTATAGATTGACAGCATCCCAAGACAGAAGAATTTTTCTTAGTACAGAACAAAATGGAGTCTCCCATGTCTACTTCTTTCTACACAGACACAGTAACAATCTGATCTCTCTTTCTTTTCCCCACATTTCCCCCCCTTCTATTCGACAAAACTGCCATCGTCCTCATGGCCCGTTCTCAATGAGCTATTGGGTACACCTCCCAGACGGGGTGGCGGCCGGGCAGAGGGCTCCTCACTTCCCAGACGGGGCGGCCGGGCAGAGGCGCCCCCCACCTCCCAGACGGGGCAGTGGCCGGGCGGAGGCGCCCCCAACCTCCCTCCCGGACGGGGCGGCTGGCCGGGCGGGGGCTGCCCCCCCACCTCCCTCCCGGACGGGCTGGCTGGCCGGGTGGGGGCTGACCCCCCACCTCCCTCCCTGACGGAGTGGCTGGCCGGGCGGGGGCTGACCCCATTAATTGCACAAGGGATGCTATGAGGGAATAGCTGAGCAACTAGGACCCACCAGTCAGATGACTTGGGAAAATAGAACAGCACTAGACATGATACTAGCAGAAAAAGGCAAGGTTTGTGTTATGATTGGAACTCAATGTTGTACTTTTATCCTTAATAATACTGCCCCTGATCGAACTATAATAAAAGCACTACAAGGTCTTACTGCTTCATCAAATGAACTAGCTAAAAACTCTGGAATAAATGATCCTTTCACTAGCTTAATGGAAAGGTGGTTTGCTAAGTGGAAAGGACTCATGTCCTCAATTCTCACCTCACTGGCTCTCATAATCAGTGTACTTATCCTTGTAGAATGTTGTATTATATCTTGCATTCATGGATTAGTGCAAAGGCTTATAGAAAAGGCTCTTACCAAAACCCCTTTCAATTCTCCTCACCCTTACTCAGATAAGTTGTTCTTTCTAACTGATTAAGAAGAGCAACAAAATCAAGATATGTTAAGGAGATTTGAAGAGGAAGAACTGTAAAATCAAGAGGGGGAAACTGTAAAGAATAAAAGTACCTCTCCAAAGTTTTCCTTTTTGGTTAAGAATGATAAGTGTTAAGAAGATAGTTCCTCAGCCGGGCGCAGCAGCTCACACCTGTAATCCCAACACTTTGGGAGGCTGAGGCAGGTGGATCATGAGTTCAGGAGATCGAGACCATCCTGACTAACATGGTGAAACCCCGCCTCTACTAAAAAAAAAAAAAAGAAAACAGGAAAAAAAAATTAGCTGGGCGTGGTGGCACGTGCCTGTAATCCCAGCTACTCGGGAGACTGAGGCAGGAGAATCGCTTGAGCCCCGGAGGCAGAGGTTGCAGTGAGCCTAAATTGCGCCACTGCACTCCAGTCTGGGCTACAGAGTGAGACTCTGTCTCAAAACAAACAAACAAAAAACAAACAAAAAAAGAAGATAGTTCCTCTTAAAATCTTTCTTTAAGTTTCCCTTACTCTTCATACTAACAAATCTTCTAATTTACTAATGATTCTTTATTGTGCTCCAAGTAGTTGTTACATACAGTAAAGAAATAAACACATTCTATGTTCTTGTACTTGAACCAAGGCCTAACTCCTAGTCTGCCTGGATCTGACCAGACATGCCCAGACATGTCCCAGCTTGCAGCCTATGCTCTTGCCTTATTTGGAAATCTTATTGTCTTCCTGGTTTCCCATAAGTGACCCCCTCCTTTCCTTTGTTCCCCATTGCACCTTTACCTTATTTAGGAAAGTTAAAGTTTTTAGCCAACCGGGATCAGTTTAGACTGTGCGGTCCAGCTCCAGCCAATGGACACAGGACACAATAGTAGAAACAACTTGCGTTAGGAATAAAAACCCCTGCTTTCCCTTGTTCTGGGTGCTCTCGTGGCAATCAGGCTTACAGGTAGCACCCTTCTGCAGAAGTAAAAATTGCCTTGCTGAGAAATACTTTGTTCAAGTGCTCATTTTCTTTGTGACTTCGAGCTTTATTTCTAACAGACTCAAACAAAATCAGAAAAGAAAAGAGAAACATTACAACTGATATTGCAAAAGTACAAAAGACCATCAGAGACTATTATGAACAATTGTGTACTGACAAACTGGAAAACCTGGAGGAAATGGATAAATTCCTGGAAACAAACAACCTGCCAAGATTACATTAGGAAGAATAGAAAACCTGAAGCCCTAACATACATGAACCATTCTCACAGTGGTCCCAGTGGGCCCCTGACCTCTCTGTGATTATTTCCTCAGTGCTTGTTTGCATAATTGAAATAGACCTACTCAGCAACAGCCAAAATCCACAGATCAGTTCCTTTTTTTAACTTTTATTTTCAGTTCAGGGGTACAAGTGCAGGCTGTTTTACAGGTAAACTTGTGTTGTGGGAGTTTGGTACACAGATTATTTAATCACCCAGGTTTTAAGCCTATTACCCATTAGTTATTTTCCCTGATCCTCTTCTTCCTCCCACCCTCCACCTTCTGAAAGGCCCCAGTGCCCAGTGTGTGCTATTCCCCTCTATGTCTCTATGCATTCTCATCATTTAGCTCCCACATATAAGTGAGAACATGCAGTATTTGGTTTTCTGTTTCTGCATTAGTTTGCTAAGGATAATGGCTTCCAGCTCCACCCATGTCCCTGCAAAGGACATGATCACATTCCTTTTTCTGGCTGCATAGTGTTCCATGGTATACATGTATCACGTTTTCTTTATCCAGTCTATAATTGGTGGGCATTTAAGTTGATTCCATGTCTTTGCTATTGTGAATAGTGCTGCAATGAACATATGTGTGCCTATGTCTTTATAATAGAATAATTTATATTCCTTTGGGTAGAATGGTATTTCTCTCTTTAGGTCTTCAAGAAATCACCACACTGTCTTCCACAATGGCTGACCTAATTTGCACTTCCACCAAGAGTATATAAGTATTCCTTTTTCTCCACAACTTTGCCAGCATCTGTTATTTTTTGACTTTTTAATAATAGCCATTCTGACTGGTGTGAAATGGCATCTCACTGTGGTTTAGATTTGCATTTCTCTAATCATCAGTGATGTTGAGCATTTTTTCATGTTTGTTGGCTGCATGTATGCCTTCTTTTGAGAAGTGTCTGTTTATATGCTTTGCCCACTTTTTAATGGGGTTGTTTTGTTTTTTCTTGTAAATTTGTTTAAATTCCTTATAGATATTAGACTTTTGTCAGATGCATAGTTTGCAAAAAATTTTCCCCCATTCTGTAGGTTGTTTACTCTGTCGATAGTTTCTTTTGCTGTGCAGAGCTCTTTAGTCGAATTAGATCCCATTTGACAATTTTTGCTTGTGTTGCACTTGCTTTTGGCATCTTTGTCATGAAATCGTTGCCCATACCTATGTCCTAAATGGTATTGCCTAGGTTCTGTTACGGTTTTTACAGTTTTGGATCTTACATTTAAGTCTTTAATCCATTTTGAGGTGATTTTGGTATATGGTGTAAGAAAGGGGTTCCATTTTAATCTTCTGCATATGGCTAGCCAGTTATCCCAGCACAATTTATGAATAGGGAATCCTTTCCCCATTGCTTGTTTTTGTCAGGTTTGTCAATGATCATAGTTGTGTGTGGTCTTATTTCTGGGTTCTCTATTCTGTTCCATTGGTCTATATGTCTATTTTTGTACCAGTACCATGCTGTTTCGGTTACTGTAGCCTTGAAGTATAGTTGAAATCAGGTAGCATACACTGGACGTGGTGGCTCATGCCTGTAATCCCAGCACTTTGGGAGGCAGAGGCAGGTGGATCATGAGGTCAGGAGTTCGAGACCAGTCTGGTCAACAAGGTGAAACCTTGTCTCTACTAAAGATACAAAAAATTAGCTGAGCGTGGTGGCATGTGCCTGTAATCCCAGCTACTCAGGAGGCTGAGAAAAGGAGAATCACTTGAACCCAGGAGGCAGAGGTTGCAGTGAGCCAGGATTACACAATTGCACCCCAGCCTGGATGACAGGGTGAGACTCCATCTCAAAAAAAAAAAAAAAAAATCAGGTAGTGTAATGCCTCCAGCTTTGTTCCTTTTGTTTAGGATTGCCTTGGCTATTCAGGCTCTTTTTTGGTTCCAGGTGAATTTTAAAATAGTTTTTTCTAGTTCTGTGAAGAATGTCAGTGGTAGTGGCCGGGCACGGTGGCTCACGCCTGTAATCCCAGCACTTTGGGAGGCTGAGGCAGTGGATCATGAGGTCAGGAGATGGAGACCATCCTGGCTAACGGGGTGAAACCCCATCTTTACTAAAAGTACAAAAACTTAGCCCAGCATGGTGGCGGGTACCTATAGTCCCAGCTACTCGGGAGGCTGAGGTAGGAGAATCGCTTGAACCTGGGAGGCGGAGGTTGCAATGAGCCGAGATCACACCACTGCACTCCTGCCTGGGTAACAAGAGTGAAACTCTATCTCAAAAAAAAAAAAAAAAAACCTCCTGAATTCGTTGATCTTTTGAGTGGTTTTTCATGTCTCTGTCTCCTTCAGGAGACAATACCTTTGTTAATTTTTTATTATTACGTCTTGTCTTCTGCTAGCTTAGGGATATGTTTGCTCTTTGTTCTCAAGTTCTTTTGGTTGTGATTTTAGGTTGTTAACTTGAAATCTTTCTAACTTTTTGATGTGGGCATTTAATGCTATAAATTTCTCTCTTAACACTGCCTTAGCTCTTTCCCAGAGATTCTGGTACATTGTATCTTTGTTCTAATTATCTTCAAAGAACTTCTTGATTTGTGCCTTAATTTCATTATTTACCCAAAAGTCGTTCAAGAACAGGTTATTCAATTTCTATGTAATTGTATGGTTTGAGTGAATTTCTTAGTCTTTATTTTGAATTTGATTGCACTGTGGTCCAAGTGACTATTTGTTATGATTTCAGTTCTTTTGCATTTGCTGAGGAGTGTTTTACTTCCAATTGTGTGATTGATTTTAGAGTAAGTGCCATGTGACAATGCAAAAAATGTATATTCCATTGCTTTGGGGTGAAGACTTCTGTAGATATTTATCAGGTCCATTTGATGCAGGGCTGAGTTCAGGTCCTGAATATCTTCGTTAATTTTCTGTCTTGATAATCTGTCTAATATTGTCAGTGGAGTATTAAAATCTCTTACTATTATTGTGTGAGATTCTAAGTCTCTTTGAAGGTCTCTAGGAACCTACTTTATGAATGTGGGTGTTCCTGTATAGGATGCATATATATTTCAGATAGTTAGATCTCCTTGTTGAATTGAACCCTTTACCATTATGTAATGCCCTTCTTTGTCTTTTTTTTATCTTTTTTGGTTTAACACCTGTTTTGTCAGAAACAAGAGTTGCAACCCTGGCTTTTTTTCTGCTTTCCATTTGCTTGGTAAATTTTCTTCCATCTTTTTGTTTTGAGCCTATGTGTGTCATTGCATGTGAAATGGGTGTATTGAAGACAGCATACTGATAGGTCTTGGTTCTTTATCCAGCTTGCCACTCTATGTCTTTTAAATGGGGCATTTAGCCCATTTACATTTAAGGTTAGTATTGATATGTATGGATTTGATCCTATCATCATGATGTTAGCTACTTACTTTGCAGACTTTCTTATGTGGTTGCTTTATTGTGTCACTAGTCTGTGTACTTCATTGTGTTTTTGTAGTGGCTGGTAACTGTCTTTCCATGTTTAGTGCTTCCTTCAGGAGTTCTTGTAATGCAGGTCTGGTAGTAATGAATTCCCTTGGCATTTGTTTGCCTGAAAAGAATCTGATTTCTCCTTTGCTTATGAAGCTTAGTTTGTTTGGATATGAAATTCTGGGTTGGAAACTCTTTTCTTTGAGAATGTTGAATACTGGACCTCAGTCTCTTCTGGCTTGTAGGATTTCCACTGAGACATCCACTGTTAGTCTGATGGGCTTCCCTTTGTAGGTGATCTGGCCTTTCTCTCTGGATACCCTTGACATTTTTTCTTTCATTTTAACCTTGGAGCATCTGATGATTATTTGTCTTGGGGATGATCTTCTCATGGAGCAGCTTACTGGGGTCCTCTGCATTTCTGAATTTGAATGTTGGCCTGTCTAGCTAGGTTGGGGAAGTTCTCATGGATCATATCCTGAAATGTTTTCCAAATTGGTTCCATTCTCCCCATCTCTTTCAGGTACACCAATCATTCATACATTGTTTCTTTACATAATCCCATGTTTTTCAGATGTTTTGTTCATTCCTTTTCATTCTTTTTTCTCTAGTCTTGTCTTCTTGTCTTATTTCAGAAAGCCAGTCTTCAAGCACTGAGATTCTTTTCTCCACTTGCTCTATTCTGCTATTAATACTTGTGAGTGCACCACGAAATTCTTATAAAGTGTTTTTTACCTCTATCAGGTTGGTTATCAGATTCTTTTGCTGATTCCTTCTCATCTCTATGGGCTTATCTACCCTCAATCTTTGAGGTTGCTGACCTTTGAGTGGATTTTTTTTCTCTTCTTTTGTTTTCTCTTTTAACAGTCTGGCCACTTTTCTATAGGGCTGTACAGTTTGCTAGGGGCCTGCTACAGTCCCTAGTTGCCTCAGATTTTCCAGTACCTGAAGGTATCACCAGTGAAGGCTATGTAACAGCAAAGATGGCAGTCTGCCCCTTCCTCTGGGAGGTCTGTTCCAGGAAAGTACAGACTTGTTGCCAGCCTGAACACACCTGTAGGAGGTGCTGGAGACCCTGGTTGGGAGGTCTTGCCCAGTCAGGAGGAACAGGATCAGGATCTAGAGGTTTACTAAAGGAGGAATGCTCCCACAGGAGACACAGAAATGAACCATTGAGCTGGAAGCTAAGACAGCTACCCAGGCCCTTCAGAGCCTCATGATTCTGAATCAACAAAGGAAGGAGTTACTGCACTGTCTGGGGTGATTGGTCCTGGCCATCAGGGGGAATTGGTCTACTACTACACAATGGCAGTAAATAGGACTGTGTCTGGAACACAGGAGATCTTTTAGAGCATCTCTTAGTAATACTCTGCCGTATAATTAAAGTCAATAAAAACGGCAACAACCCAAGTCAGGTAGGACTAGTAATGACACATACCCTTCAGGAATGAAGGTTTGAGTCACCCAAGCAGGAAAAGAAACCTGATCAGCTGACGGACTTGCTGAAAGAAATGGGAATATGGGATGGTTAGTGAAAAACAACAAAAAAAGTATTTATAAATACTAGTTGTGGCCGGCACAGTGGCTTGTGCCTGTAATCCCAGCACTTTGGGAGGCGGAGGCAGGTGGATTGCTTAAGTCTAGGAATGTGAGACCAACCTGAGCAAAATGCTGAAACTCCATCTCTACTGAAAATAAATACAAAAAATTAGTCAGACTTGGTGGTGTGCTTGTAGTCCCAGCTACTTAGGAGGTTGAGGTAGGAGGATCACTTGTGCCCAGGAGGTGGAGGTTGTAGTGAGCCAAGGTAATGCCACTGCACTCCAGCCTGGGCAACAGAACAAGACCCTGTCTCAAATAAATAAGTAAGTAAATAAATAAATAAATAACCAGCTGTAACCATGTGAGCACTTACAGAAATAAAGACAGTAAATGTTATCAGCATTACTTCTTTATGTTTTTATAATGATATTTATGTCTGTGTGTATGTATCCTTACATGTATTGAGCAAATACCTTTCTTTTCATCTTTTCCTGATGATCTGTAATAAAACATAAGATGTGCTAACAATAATTCCCTTTTATTAATAAAAGTTAACTTTTATTACGCATGGTATTTAGGTTACAGTATATCAAAGAGAAGAGTGCATATCATGCATCTTTTTCTGTGGAAAGGGTTAGTGTGTTTCTAGTTGGATGCAAGTTAATTGTATCATCTTTGGCAAAAGTAAGACTTTATAATTGTTTTTATTTGGAGACGAAGTAAGGTTTAAGGAAAATGTTAATGGGTGCCAAGTTCACAAGCATGGACTGGGATGGTGGGTCTTATGTGTCAATTTTACTAAACCATAGCACCTAGTTATTTAATCAAACACTAAATTTATATGTTGATATGATGGTGTTTTGCAGTTGTGATTAAAATCTGATATCAGTTGATTTCATGAAAAGGAAATTACCCTAAAACATGTGGGTGGGACTTTTTGAATCACTTGAAGGCCTTTGGGCGAAATGTGAGTCTTCCCAGAGAAGAAAAAATTCTGCCTCAAGATGACAGTAGCAACTACACTTTAGGTTTCCAATCTGCCAGCCTGGTCTACAAATTTTAGATTGAAGGCTGCAACATTATGACTTTCCAGCCTTCCAGCCTGCCGAGGTGTAACTTGTGACATCAATAACGTAAAATGAGGGGTGGGAAAAGATGTAAAGAAGCAGAGTTTCATATTGATTTCAGTTCAAGATTGTTATAACTGTATTGTTATATATAATACCACAGTAATCACAAAGAAATATACATAAAATATACACAAAAGAAAATGAGAAGGCAGTTAAAACATATCACTAGAAAAAAATCGACTAAATGAAAAATGACTAAAAACAAAAGAAGGTTGGAATGAAGGAGATGAAGGACAAAACAGCTATAAGACATGCATAAAACCAACATCACAATTACAGAAGTAAATCCTTCCTTATCAGTAATTACTTTAAATGTAAATGTAAATGGATTAAACTTCCCAATCAGAATTCAGAGATTATCACAATGGACAGAATAAAAAGGATCTGGCTGGGCACGGTGGCTCACACTTTTAATCTCAGCACTTTGGGAGACGGTGGCTGGCAGATCACAAGGTCAGGAGTTCGAGACCAGCCTGGCCAACATGATGAAACCCCGTCTCTACTAAAAATAGAAAAAAATTAGCCGGGTGTAGTGGCAGGTGCCTGTAATCTCAGTTACAAGGGAGGCTAAGGCAGGAGAATTGCTGGAACCGGGGAGGCAGAGGTTTCAGTGAGCTAAGATCGTACCACTGCACTCCAGCCTGGGCAACAGAGTGAGACTCCGTCTCAAAAAAAAAAAAAAAAGATTCTCACTTTGGATCTAACGACACACAGAAGTTGAAATTGGAAAGACAGAGAAGGATATTCACAAAAATAGTAACTAAGAATTTTTAATGATCTCTTATAGGGTTCTATGTGTTGGCTGGGCTCAGATGATGGCCTGGGAGTGTTACATGGTCCAGGGATTGAAGTGGAAGGAACCAGACGCAGGCAGGATGGTTAACAGCAGTGCCCAGACTGACACAGCCACACTTCTGCCATATTTTATTGGGTAACGCAGATATCAGATCTGCTTATGTTTAAGGAGTGGAGAGAACTTACCTCTTGATGAGGGAGTGGTGGGTCAAACTAAAGAAAAGCAAGTGCGATGGAAGATATTTAGATATTTTTGCAGCCCTCTTTGGAAAATACATGCAATTCAAAACATCCTATCTGCCAGAAAGGAAGAACACCATTACGCCTTACCCCTCCAGTTTAAGCCCTGTGATTCTATAGTATCCTGGGGAAGGATCATGTCTTAGGAAGCAGGTGGGGAGTCGAAGCTCTAAATAAAGCCCCATCTACACCCACAATTTCACTTTATTTTGATGAAATTTTGTGTCATTTTTGATGAAATGGGGGCTCACAAATCTCTCTTCAGGGATCTCTCCAGTGGCGGGGACGATATGCTCCCTTCTCCACAGTTCTACTTTATAGATAAGTGGAACTAGATCTCAGTTTCAGTTATTTAAAACACCAGAGACTTGGATGCATGCATGTCACAAAAAGGTGAAAGAATGCTCTCTGTCACTTTCCCTTCTCTCACTCACTGCGCCCTGAACAAGAACCTGCTCTACCCTGACCTTTTGAATGAGGAGGAGGGTCGCACTCCTGCCTAACCTTCAACTTTCCAGAGATAAACCTCCTGCCCAAACAGCATGGTTCATTATAAAGACCAAACCCTACACCAAGAGCTCTCCCCTTATCCACCATGGCAGAAACTGAATCCTATGGAAAGGCCCAGAAAATTCTGGCTCGAAATGACCAGCGTCATGTCCCTTCCACCAAAATAAAGCCAACATATTCATCACAACATGGGGTATTGATAAGGATATCAAAATGATTACCAAAAAAATTTGACAAATATGTTCTTTTTATTACATCAACTTTTGTTTCCCTCCAAATATAAAGAAAATAAGCCTGCACAGCAGGAGAAGTTGTTCCCCTGGGAGAGCATCCTCTTTCCAGCTGAAAATCTGGTACTGGAATCACTAGAATGGAACAAGGGTTTCTGGTATGACACAGCACCAGGTCTTGGGGCAGCCAGAGTTAGGGAGGGCTCACCCTCTGGGTGACACCAACCTTTGGTTCTCCATTTTTTTGTTCTCATTGCAAGAACAAAATTTCAGAGTATCAGAGCCAAAGAAATTTACTCTATTTTATTCTTTAGAAAATGCAATCTCAAGGATAATCAGACTGTTATGGGCTAAATTGTATCCCCCCAAAACTGGCATGTTGATGTCCTAACCCCCAGTACCTGAGAGAGTGACTGCATTTGGAGAGGTTTTAAGGAGGTCATTAAGGTAAAATGAGGTCATGTGAGTGTGCCCTAATTCAATGTGACTAGTGTCTTCATAAAAAGAGAAGATTAGACACAGACAGATACGGAGGAATGACCATGTGAAGACAGAGAGAGAACACATCTACAAGCCAAGGAAAGAACCTTAGAAGAAATCAGCACTGCCAACACCATGATCTTGAACTTCCAGCCTCCAGAACTGTGAGACAATGAATTTCTGTTGTTTAAGTCACCCAGTGTGTGGTACTTTGTTATGGCAGCTCTAGCAAATTAAAACAAACATATTATATTGCCCAATGGAGAGTTTTACCTGACTCCACTCTGGCTCCAATTTGATTAAGGTCTATATGCTCTGGGACCTCTCCAGCTCCTCATGAGAAATGACAAAGAATGCCATGTCCAGCTCCTGGGGTCCCTGATGGCAGTAAGAGGCAGCTCCTAATCGAGGGAGCTTTGGGGTGACGAAGGCCTCATAGACTTCATCACTGTTGGGCCACTTGGCTTCAGTCCCCTGACCACAATGGATCCATGGGCCTGGATTCACCTCTGACATTCGTGTCTTTTTTTTCCACAAGTGGTCTCTGGTAGAGATGGAGGGAAAGGACACAGGGATTCAAAATCCTGACTATCCTAGTGTCCTCCCCTCACTTCCACTCAGAGACAACACGGCCATTTCTCTAAACTCCTGAGGACGTGGCCAACATAAGTAATGGAGCACGGGGAGGTGCCTTGAACAGAGCTGCATGGAAGGGTGGCTGGTGGCCTCTAGACCCTTTGTCTATACGTGCTGGGCTTCTTTAGTATGAAATGTCCCAGAGACAGCCACATTCTATGCTTGGATCCTCAAACCAAAATGTGTGAGGGTCTTAGCCCTGGCCAACTGAGCACTGAATTCAAGAGAGACCAGGAAACCTTCTGAATATTGGGACACTTTATTCCTGAATCCTGAATCCTGGAAGTTGGCTTCTGGCCAGGGAGGCAGGTGTCATTATATCTGGGCTGCCTCTGTGAGGCCTCTTTTCCCTCTGCCTTTCACATCTTTCTACCCCTGTTAAAATCCCAGAACAGATAGAAACATTCTGCCTTCTTAGATGCCTCTTGCTACAAATTTCAATGCCATTTGATTGAATTAATAAATGAAAGCAACTTTAATACAAGATGAGGTTTAAAGAATGGTATTTGACATGGGTTTAGAATGAATAAATGGATCAAGTAATGAATTTTGAGAAAATTCATGTAAAATTTATTTTTAACCATTTTATTAACTTGACTGTGGAATTAATAAATGATTCCAAATTAATACAAAAAAGTGCAATCACAAATGTATGAATGCCCAGAAGTGTGAATGAGGGGCAATGCACACAAGAAAAAAGGTGTGCACAGGAAGAAATTCTTCATTCCACGTTTTTACTGATCCCTCTGGTCAAGATGGGCTAAAAGTCCAAAAATCTGCTTTCCTCACATGGTCAAATGATTCAGCATAAAATACAACTGACTGAACACAATTATCAATGCTTTAAATATATTAGAAAAAATCAATAAGGAAAAATAATCCTACCATCACTAAGATTTTAAGTTATAATAAAATAAAGCCTAGAAACGTATCGTTTGTTCCCAATTCCAATGATTATAGGATTGCAGTGTTTGGCTTTCAAAAGACCATTTAAAACAACTCAGGGAAGTTTTCTTAACAAACTCTATAGCAGGACCACAGCTAAACCTATGAGTAGTAGTAGAAGTAAACAATGACACTGTCTTTAAAATTTCATTTTGAAAAACATGTTTGAAAGTGGCTGACTGGCTCCTAATTTAACCACTACCATTTGAAGTCATATGTTAGATTGGCAAAGTCGTCGTAATTTTTATGTATTTTATTTTTGTAATGCAAGTGCTTCACTCTGCTATCTGATAAAAGAAAATACCAAGCCAGGCATGGTGATGCATGCCTTGTAGTCCCAGCTACTCAAGAGCCTGAGGCAGGAGGTTCCTTCAGCCCAGGAGTTCAAGGCTGCAGCAAGCTATGATGGTGCCACTGCACTCCAGCCTGGGCAACAGATAATGCAATTTTAATGTAAAATTTTAGTGTTAGGAGTTCAACCTTGAACTGATTCTGTGAGATCCTATTTGAGAGAAGCTGTTGTGTACAATGAAGTTTGGGGAATATCAACAAGAAGTAAATGCCTACCTTGTTTCTAATTTACAAACTAAAAGGAAATTCCATAAACTTTTAATGCTAAGCTAAATCATTGTAGAATGAATGACAAAAAAATTATCCTACAAAACATAACTAGTTGCTAGATATATTTGAACATTAATTAGAAAAAAGATGAATGAAAGCCATGTTTTAGGAATAAAAACTACAAAAGAACTGTAAAAGCTTATCATGCCCTTGGCTGGAGTTACGCAAAGTTACTACTCACCCGTAAATTGGGATTAGCATGGTGGCTACTTCTTAAAGTTGATACAAGGATTAAATGTGTTTTAATGCATCAAAAGCATCTAGAAAAGTGCCTGAGACATAGTAAGTGCTAAAGTCTCTCTAAGTAAATAAAAAATATATAAAAGTGATGCTAAATTCACGATTCTGATCCTCTGTGCACACCCAATGTGTTTAAAATTCTGTTCATCTTCCCTTCCACATTCACAGTGAAATGTTTCTGATTAATTTAATGGGCTGTGTGAGGTGTTCATTATCTTTTACATTAAACTTGGTACATTGTACAACACTCTTATATTGTGATAATTTACCAAGCTAACACAGGCTTACCTTGTTTTTAATCCTTTTCACACACAGCATAGAATTATATTGCTATATTTTTAAATTTCAGATGATTTGAAAAATATTTACACTATAGTAGCCAAACAGTAATAATTATAAGCAACTTGGATAAAACATTTGAAATTAGAGAACTATATTTAGAATAAATTTCTCACCTTACAGAAAAATTTCCCATTGAAAACCCCTTTATTTCGCATACAAATAAGAATTCAGCATGTTTTTCTATACCCAGAGAGAACAGAGATAAACAGGGTCCTTTCGTGTGGTTTGGGTATTTTATTAGATGCTGAGTTCAAGAAAGTCTCACCCCTGAAGAAGCTGAAATTCCATTTTTCTTCGAAATGGGGTCTTTTCAAAGTTAGTAACAATGAAGCTGTCATTCACACGATGCATGGCTGAACAAAAAGACAGAGACAGCGGGTGCTGCATTTTATTTTTGTAATGTTGCCTTGTCCACAAGACACTATTTACACTTAAATCAATTAAAATTATATTAATTTTAAAAGTCAGTTTTCCCAGTTTCTCATTTGTACTAGCCACATTTCAAATACTCAGAATTCATGGGTGGCCGGTGACTGACGTAATGAACAGCACAGATATAGGCATTCCATCACTACAGAAGGGAGCTGGACAGCAGTGTGCCAATGTTTTAAGGACAGAATCCTGAGTAGAATTATAGGATGATGACAATTCCGAGTTCCCATTCCAATTCATGGTCTCTTCTCTGATGAGTGGTGTAGGGGGAAATCCATCTCTTTTGTGAGTAAAGGTTAATTTTTCCAACTACAGATAAATAATTAACATTACTTTTTTTAAAACCAGTTTTACACTGTTAAGTTACAACCAAAAGTGAAGGGCTTGAATTACATTTACATTTTAACACATGGTTTTAAAGGGAAGATCCGTGTGAAAAAGAAACAAAACTCAGAAAAAAAACCCAGAAGTTTTCATACCAATTCCCATAGCAATAACAATCCCTTTTCTGTCGTTAGAGTTCACCCTCATTCTGATTTCATAGTAATCCTGTTCATGTCTTTCTTTAAAGCTTTACCCCATGCATATATTTCTAAAACAACACAGGTTATCTCAAACTTTATATAAATTTTGAATTTTTCATACAAATGGAATCATGCTGTGTATATTCTTACAAGACCTCATTTTAGATCAAATGTATGTTTGCTAAGTTTTTATAGGTGTCTGTATTCATGTTTATTATTTGTAACATTTCATTGAATAAATACATCATATATTAAATTAACCCTTCTCTCGTTTATGGTCATTTCATTTGTTGTCAGATTTTTTAAAATTACAAGCAATGCTGTTACAAGTCTTCTAGCACTAGTCTGTTGGCACAATGGGCACATATCTGTCAAAATTATACACCTAGGAGTGGAGTTACTGGTATATGTGTATGATATCCCACTCAAAGAGATGATGCCACACTGCTAGATAAAGTGGCTGTGGCAAGCAATGTGTGGTAGATCTTGATGGTCTGTATTCTCATCAGTGTTTGGAAAACTCAATAATTTTAATATAGAAATTCTAGTGCATTTTTCAAAATATCTCATTATGTTTTCCTCATTAAACTTTATTGAGATATAAATCACATACTACTCACCCATCTAAAGTATGCAATTCAATGGTTTTTCACATATTCAGAGTTTTAAATCTGCATATTTAATTTTAGAACATTTTCATCATCCCAAGATAATCAACGGCTTTATAATATGTCTCTCTATACAATGAAGTAAATCCATAAATTTTGAGTTTTCACTTCAGGAGTGTTTTTTCTATCATTGGCAACTTTCCTAGCTTGACAGGCACCTTTCCAAGTACCTTTAACAATTTTATTTTTAATAGAGATTTCATTCAGTAATCAGATTTGGAGAGCACTGACAAATTTTGCCACATTGAGACTTATAATTCATGAACATGTAATGTTTACTTATTAAATACTCTTAAATAAAGTATTGCTGGTTTTACTTGTGCATCTTTTAGTAGATTTATTCCAAAGATCTTGAAATATGGTGCTAGTGTTCACAGTATCTCTTTCTTTGTTGAATTTCAGTGTTGGTTGTGGTATGTATAAATATAAATAATTTTATATAGTTTTAATTCAATGACTTTGCTTAAAGCTTTTATTAATTCATGTAGTTGATATATTCTGTTGCCTGATTGCACTAGCTAGGAAATCCAGTGTGATTTTGAGTGCAATGGAGAGGGCAGGTCTGCTGGTATCTTCTCTGTGCACTCCTGATCCACACTCCATGTACTCTCCCTGCTCCGTGTCCTGGACACTGTGCTGCATGGCCTGCTGGACCACAAAAGGCAGCCTTGCTTTCTGGCTTTTATTTGGGATCGGCTAAATGGGAGCATCATCACGGAGAGAGTGATGAGGAGCACTGGTTGGAGGGATTTCTCCCCATAGCTTTCAGTATTGACATAGGGAGAAATGAGATGTGATTGGCCTGGATTCATCAATATGGGATCTTCACCCAGTATCTTAGATTAAATGTGTTATTTTGAACACCTAAGAGTGATGTTAATAGTCAGCCAGGTTAGCTAATTAAAACCCGAATTCAACTGTGGCCTAGCACAGTGTTTCTCAAATTTGACTGAGCTTTCCATCACGTGGGAGATTTTAAATAGCCCCAGGTCTAGATCAACATGTAAAACCAATGAAATCTAATTCATCAAAAGTAGGATCCTGGAAACAGTATTGTTCCTAAAACTCTCCAGGTTTGACTCCAATCAACAGCCAAGTTAAAAACTAGTAGCTCAAAGCAGTGGTTCTCAATATTTGGTATGTATCAAAATCATCTGGGAATTGTAGCAAAACTACACAGGCCCAGATATTATTCTAATTTAACAGGCTAGAGCCTTGAGTTTATTAAAACAAATCATCTCTCCAGATTTTGCTATATGCAACAGTTTGTGAAAACCACTAGCCTATATCAACAGAATCCCTATCACAGGCATACTGCAGAGGAAAGTGTCTGAACACAGCTCAGAGAGACGGAAAAGTGGGAATGTATCCATTATGTGCAACCTACTTAACATCTCCTAACCACATCTCCCGGGAGGGCTGAGAGGATGCCCCCCTTACCAAGGCATTAAGGTGCCACATGACACATACAGGTATAAAAACTGCTAGGTCTGCTGAGCAGTCACCAATCTTGAGTCCTGGATATTCAGAAATTCTTATCCAGTAGCTACACCAAAGCCAGCTGATATGTCAGAGCCCCTCAAATAAGCAGAAGGCTGGTGCCCTTGAGAAAGGACCCTATAATTCACTCTGAGATAAATTCTTTTTACAGGACTTTCCCAGAGGAACATTTAGTCATTTATCGCTGTCCACTGGGGAATGGAAAACCCCAAATAATCTGGGAGCTCAACTTTAATGTCTTTAATCCTGTCAAAGATTACCCTGGGGTTAATACTTTGTTGTAACCTGCATAAAAATCTTTCCCTACACTAAAGTAATGAAGATATTCTACTATATTACTGTAAAGAGATGAGTACAATCACATTTTTTTACAAGAGATGAGTACAATTGCATTTTTCCAGATAGATAACCAATTGTTGTTAAATTATTTTCTAAATCGTTTTCCTTTACCCACTGATCTGTAATGTTGCCTCTGCTCTACATACGTTCAGGGCTTTCTATTCTGTTCCCAAGTTCTAGTTTACTACCCTGTCTCAACATCTCGACTCTCTTAATTAAAATAACTCTAACATAAGTCTTAATATCTGCTAAGGAAATTCTCTCTGCTTATTATTCTTATTTAGAGTGTCATAGCTACTTTTTCTCTTTCATATTTCAATATAAGGCTTAAAATTGGCTTACTATGTGTTGCAAAAATGCTTGATAAACATTTGATTGAGATGTGTTTGAGTTCTTAGAGTACTGTAGGAAATTAATGTCATTATTATATTGAACCATCCAAGCCAGGATCCTGGTAAATTGATTCAGTTAATTCACTGTCTTCTTTAATTACTGTCTTCTATTATTACTCAGTAGGGTTTTTTAAATATCCCAATTGATATCTTGTACAGAATTTGTTAGGTTTAGTTTTAGAAGTTTATATGTACGCACTTTTGCTGAATCAATTTTTTAAAATTTTCATTTTATATCTGTGCAAAACAGCTCTATAATTTCTTCTACCTACCAAGCAAAAATATCTTATTAACTTCCGGATCACGAGGTCAGGAGATCAAGACCATCCTGGCTAACATGGTGAAACCCCATCTCTACTAAAAATACAAAAAATTAGCCGGGCATGGTGGCGGGCGCCTGTAATCCCAGCTACTCGGGAGGCTGAGGCAGGAGAATGGCCTAAGTAAATCTGGGAGGCGGAGCTTGCAGTGAGCCGAGATCTCGCCACTGCACTCCAGCCTGGGCGACAGAGCGAGACTCCGTCTCAAAAAAAAAAAAAAAAAAAAATATATATATATATATATATAAATATATTTATATATATATGTATCTTATTAACTTCAAGAGTGTTCTAATCATTTGTATTTTCTGCATTCAGCATATTACCATTTGCAAATTATAAGAGTTTTGTGCCTTCTTTTCAAACCTTTTTAAGTATATTTCTTTTCTTCTTTATGACACTGGGAAGATCCTCAATTACAATTTTTAATAAGAGCAGTGAAAACTGCTGGACCACTCAAACAAAAATTGAGCTGCCACTCCTGAGAACTGACTGTGTTGCTCTTATGGATCAGCCCTTTGGGACCCATCCTAATCCCAGGGATTTACAGTGCCACATATGCACCCGCAGCCTTTAGATGTAGACTTTATCCACCTAGCCCTCAAAGGTCTCAGACACTGCCCAGAGCAGCCAACATCACCCAGGACAAAAGCAACCCTGCAGCTCAACTTGCTCTTCTAGATTTCTGCCTTCTCCTGGTTCCTGGCCTGGCAAATCTTTACTGCTTGGTTAGCCCCTTCATACTTTCCATCAGATTTTTCAAATATGTACCCTTTTCCCACTTGTCCAGTAGTACTCAATGGGAGGGATGATCCAAATTACATAATTAATAATTGCTGAAAACTAAAGTACAATGTACAATTTTTATGTCAATGTCACATGCCAAGGGAGAAAATGCATAGGTATCAGTAGTGACTACTTAAGCATGTGTAACTTAGAGGTAATAAAAACAAAAATGTTAGGTAATATCTATCTATTCCAGATTAAAATCTACATCAATAAATTCAAACTTCTAGGAAAAATATCTGCATATGTAATATATGACTGTGACTCCGATAGACGAACGTGGGAATATAGTATGAAGATACTTCTCATCGTCTTCACTCTGTGAGGCAGTCAGTGTGAAATGAGAACCAGGGATTCAAAATGTGTTGCAAGACTATGAAAAGCACTAGAGTAAGTTCTACACAAATAAAGCAATCTCCTCATAAATTACACTGGGCTTATCTGTGAGATGCATGTCCTTATCAAAATGGAGTTAATTCTAGGTAGGTGATCTTGTTTAAATAAAATGGACTCTGACTCACTAGCTACTGGTCCACCATCGGTTTTTCCCTTTACTAAAAGGGAGGCCCCACACTGAGCCAGCATTTCCCAAGAGGAGGTGTCTTGCTGACATCAACTTCCAACAGGGTAAATTTTCATGGGAACCCAAAGAGAAGAGGAAGACCTCAAGAAAAAGGGCCTAAAGAAATGACAAGAATGATAACATTTTACACTTTTATTGTGCTATGTGTCAAATAGTGGTCTTCGCACTTTAAAAATGCCAATTCATTTTATTCTGACTACACATCCATGGCTTGTGCCTGTTATTTTTCCCTTTCATAGTTAATGCCATAGGAATGAAGATCACACAAAAGTAGGGATGGAGCCGGGTTTGCACCCAGACAATTCTGCCCCAGGGCCATGCTCACACCACTGCACTTTTCCAGAATGTGAGGGTGGGCGGAGAGTCCAGCTCAGGGAGAGAGATTGGAGTGAGAGAAGAAGGAGAGGGGGCCGACTGGATCACTGTGATGGTCTGGACCCACGATTCCAGGAGAGAAAGACAAGGATTATGTCACTCAGGGAAAATATCCAAAGTCTCTGGTTTAAACTTAAGCATCTCCAGCTCCAGGACAGGTGGCTGGTGGGAAGACAAACTAAGCCAAAGCCACAGCTCTGAAGATTTCCCTCTCCTGAGAATTCTGCAGGGGTTTCCCTGACCTCATGGCCACCTCTCACCCTTGGCTCTTGTTTTTCCCCCAGGACTGATAAGGGCGTCCAGATGGGACGCCTTTATCAGTTGGTCTCGGGTTCTAGAGAAGCCATCAGAGTCAGTGGAGGATGAGCTTCATAAAGTGGGAGATCTCCAGGATCCTTCCTGGACTCCAAGATACCCAGAGAAGCCGGATCCTGTGTCCCGGAACCCCCTTCCTGTTCCTTTGTGGGCCCTGACCTTAGGGAGAACTGGGCTGGTGAGAAGATCAGGATGAACTGGGCTGGGGAGGCAAGAGGGAAAGGGCGGCTTGGAGGGCTTAGTAGCTCCTCTCGCGGCGCCTCCGTCCCGGGCTGGGATCTGCAGACTCCTCAGGTCACTTCTCCCAGAGCCGCCGCCCCAAGCCACCCTCCCCTGGTTCCCGTCCCTCTGTCCCCTCCCCAGCTCCCCCCACACAGTAAGAAGCTCCCAAGTGAGCGGCTCCGGTGCCGGGCGGGACGTGGGAGGGAGGCTGTGTCCCCGCGGGGAGGCAGGGCGACGGCGTCCAGGAGAGAGGGGAGCGGGGCGGTGTCCCAGGCACCCTGCGCCTCTCCCGCCCGCAATGTGCGGGTTCCCGGAGCCCAGGCCCGCACCCCGGGTACTTGAAGGCCGCCGGGCTCCGCCTTCACCACGTGGGCCCTGAGTTCCTCCGCGGCGCCTTCGTGGGCGACACGCGATTCCTGAGCTTCCACAGCCGCGGCGAGAATCAGAGCGTGAAGCGCGGGTGGAGAAGATGGCACAGGGCTGTGGGCGCCCTGAGGAAAGTTCTCGAAGACCGCAGGGAATGTGTTACTGAGGGGCCTGAGGTTCCTGGGCCCGCACCACCACCAGGGTCAGCCGGTGAGTGACCTCAGACTCCGGGCACAGGTGTGCCCCGCCCCGACCCCAGAGTGACCAGCCCGGTTCTCCCAGGGATGGGGGGGCGGGGCCTCAGCTGATCCCTCTCAGGTGGGGAAGCGCTGGGGCCATTTTGCTCCAGGTTTCTCCTTCAATCTGGATCATGACTGACTTGTTCTGTGACCAATGACAGAGGGAGGAAGGAGCTGGGGTGGGCGGGGCGACCTCCCTCCCCTCCCTGGCCCCGCCTCCGGCTCACCCTGGGGCAGGTCCAGGGCACCGCACCTGCAGATGCTGCTGTCTGGCTGGGTGGTGGCTCCGGACAGGAGCTTCCTCGAAGGACACTTTAAGTCCGCCTACGACAAGGAGATTTCATGTCCCTGAACGAGGACCTGCAGACCTGGACAGCGGCTCAAAGAGCGGCTTGGAGGATCCATCACACCTGGGAGAGGTTCTGGACCGCGGAGGCCACAAGGGAAGCCCCGATGGGTCACTGCACTAGGTGGCTGCTCAGACACCTGGAGGATGGCAAGGAGATGATGCTGCCGGCAGGTACTGGGGTCCTCCAGGCCCCACGTCAGGACCTCTTGGAGCTGGAATTATGTTCCTTGGAGGCATCCATATTTGAGGAAAGAGGAGACCGAACAGTCTCCGTCTCCTCCTCCTCCTCCTTCTCCTCCTCCGTCGCCGCCTCCTCCTCCTCCTCCCTACTGCGGGGTTGGGGATTCTGGCCCAGGCTCCTGAGGCTCTCCCATGGGTGGGTGGGGAGGGAGGACAGAGAAGAAGGAGTGCAGGGAGGTAAATAGGAAAGGACAGTAGTTACCCTTGTCAACAGTGAGGTACTTGGGTCTAGCTTCACCGGGAATCTTTTTCTTTCCTGGCCCTCTGTGCCCAACAATTACATATAATCTTTAACCCAACCAGAAGATAAAACACCAGGAAACGGAATCGGCAGAGACACAGTAGATGAAAGTACCACGAAGGACTGCTAGGTTCTAATAGAAAGTAGCAGATGTGAGTATCAAAAGTTATAAACCTTTTTGCAAATCAGAAAAGAAACAGACTTTTTTTTTTTTTTTTTTTTTTTTTTTTTTTTGAGACGGAGTCTCTCTCTGTCACCCAGGCTGGAGTGCAGTGGCGCGATCTCAGCTCACTGCAAGCTCCGCCTCCCAGGTTCACGCCATTCTCCTGCCTCAGCCTCCCGAGTAGCTGGGACTACAGGCGCCCGCCACTAAGCCCGGCTAATTTTTTGTATTTTTAGTAGAGACGGGGTTTCACTGTGTTAGCCAGGATGGTCTCGATCTCCTGACCTCATGATCCGCCCGCCTCGGCCTCCCAGAGTGCTGGGATTACAGGCGTGAGCCACCGCGCCTGGCCGAAAAAGACATTTTAAGACTGAAAAGTGGTATCACCAATGTTAGAACCAAAAAACTGGACCTGAGGGTGCATCACCCGAGGGGGTTAAGTTAAACTCTGTCCCTGTTCCTTCTAGAGCCCCGTGGAGATTCCTGCTGTGCAGCAAAGCCTGGGAGGGGCCCCTGGCTGTGGAAGGCAGGCTGAGACGTCATAGGTGAGATAGGAGGAAGGGGACCTGCTGGACTCCCGGGGACCTGCTGGACTCCCGGAGGCCTGGTACCCAGGGAAGGCCAGTTCCTAGGGCTGCCTCTGGACTTCAGAACCTTGATGTTAAGTCATATTTTCCCGCTCCTCCATGAGCTTCCAGGAGCAGGGCCACATGGGGCTCAGAAAGTCCCACAGTGCCTAGGAAGTGGGTCTGTCTCTTGTGGGACAAAAATTCTCAGGTCTTTCTCTTTCAGATTCTTAAATTTCTTAAAAGAGATTGAACTGGAATTACCCAGGCCCCAAACTGAATCAAGGAATTGGGACTGTGTAATGTGCGTGTGTCTGTCTGTGCACATGTGGATGTATAAACAGGTATGGGCATCTATGTGTATGTGCGTGTTTATAAGTGCGTATATGTATGTATCTGTACATATTTATGTATATAAGCAGGTATGGGTATGTATGTGTGTATGTGTGTGTGTTACTCTGTGACTTCCTCATACTTGGCACCACCCTGGCCTTTTCCTGGTTGCCCCCCACACCATAGGTTGTAAGGGACAGAACAGCGCTCCACCTGCAGACATAGAACGGGGGTCAGGATAAGTGTTGGGGAGAGCTGGTTTCATCACACCTGGAATAAGGAAACAGGACCTAAATGGATGGGTCCCACTCTTTTACAGAATTGTACCTTAAAAAAAGTGTCAGTCACGTTCCTAAGGGATTTACATGAATTAAATCATTTAAACCTCACAAGAGCCCTATGACCTAGAGACAGCTATCAGCCCCATTTTACAGACAAGGAAACTGAGGTCACTAGGAAGTTTAGTAACTGTCAGTGGGCTGACTCATGACTCTAAGGAGACAGTCTGACTGCTGAGCCCAAGTAACTGCTCTGTCATACTCACCCTCACACCCACCTACTACTGGCTCCCTGTGGGTCACCTCCTCCTGTGGGCTCTGACCAGCTTCCCTTTCTTCTCCAGGCACAGAGACTGGACTGAAGTCTATTGCATTTGCCACAGTCCCGACTGGGGAGTCATGGGGTTGAAGTGACCCATAGGCTGATGGAGTGTGCTTGCTGGATGCGGGGGAAAGGGAGATTTATATCTGCCCTGGAGGGAGTCAATGGTGTTTGCATCATGGCATATGAGGTGCACTATCTAGAATGCTGAAGGGTAAAGACCAGCAGGGGCCATGCAGAGTCTATTCATCACGGTTTTATTTCACAGCCTGCATGGGCCTGAGAGTGGTGGGGTGTTCACTCATCTCCATCCAATCCCTACTGGTTCCTGACCTCTCTTCTTCCAACTGGTAATACCTGCACTCAAGGTTGAACCATGAGGAGGAGTCTACCCACACCCCACACTTCCTCCTCTCTGCCTGCCACTCCCTAGTGGGGCCTCCTGGATGGTGTGAGAGGAGAGTGACGGAGATAGTAAGAGAACTTGACATTCACACTGGTAAAGAGAAAGTGGGATGTCAACCTATGAGAAAGATAAGGGCTGCCACAGGGAAGGGGATGAGATAAGTTCTAACTGGCCCCAAGGGTCGCTTAACTCAGTGAAAGCTGTGGGAGGTGTTTTCAGCTATCCATTGCTATGTAAGAAATTGCCACAAACTTAGCAGCTTACAACAACACACATGTATTATCCCACATTTCTATGGGTCAGGAATCCAGACACAGCTATGCAGCTTTCTCACATGATTTTCATCAGAGTGCCATGGCTGGGTCTTATCTGGAGGCTGAACTGGGGAAGGATCCACTTCCAAGCTCAAGCAATTGTTGGCAGGATTCATTCCTCCATGCCTGTTAGACTGACAGCCTCAGTTCCTTACTGGCTGGTGGCCAGAGGCTGACTTCAGTTCCTTGCCACATGGGCCTTTCTGCTTCATCAAAACTTGCAAACAAAGAAGGTAGAAGACAGAGTCATCTAGTAATACAGAAGTGCGGCTGTAATATGACCTCATTACGGAAGTGACATCATTTTTGTCACTTTCTATTGGTTAGAAGCAAGTTTAGGCCCCATCGGTTCTCAGCTGGATGAGATGCCAAGAGACAGGATCACCGGGCATCATCTTAGGGTCTCTATACACAGGCTGGACCATGACTGAACAAGATCATTACAAACCCGGGTCCTGGACTGGGCCAGATGATCTGCAGAGCTGAGCTGTGTTTATGAAATCGAATCCCTGGAAACAAAAATCAAGAGACGCCCACTGGAAAGGCTGGTCTTGCATTCTGTGTGAAAGCTAAGATGGCGTTCTCTCCAAATGTTTTTCTCTATTACTTTTCAAACCTCCTGCATCTGTAAAGAAGCAACACCACTAAGCCTATCTGGTTTTTTTTTCATTCGAGTGTCATACTGTTAGGCAAATCTTCTGCTTTCACTATTTCTTCAAGCTTGTTTTCATGCAGAATCCCACGAACTTCTGGTAATTACACTTTATTGATTTCTTTTCCTTCACTCAGTTTATTTTTTAGTGATTTTATTTCTCTTGTATGGATAAATTAGTCCATTTAATTAGGGAATTTGTGTCTTCTAAAGAAATATTTCTACTATTTTTTGGACCATATGGGCTAAGATCCTCTTGCCAAGCCTCAGCTCACTTCCCACATGGACACGACAAAATTACTGGGGGTCCTGGAAAGTCGGGGATTGGCATAGTTCTTAAGCAGGATCAGACATGTAAGTCACAAAGATATGAGGCAGATACCTTTGATTTCCTTATGACCCTGATGACAGCATACCTGGCACTCAATACCTGTCTGTAGAGGTGAACTCAACTAAACTCCTCCCTGATCACTCAATACCATGTGAGCCCAAGGACCTCTTATGTCATGGGCCAAATTCCCTTGTTTTATGCCATTTTTCCAGAAGGGGTGCTGTTCACATGGGGACGTTTCTCCTTTTCCACCTCATTTTCCATGTGTGAAACACTGGGTCTTGATTACTCAGATCTCTCAGGGTCCTTTCTACCTTTTCCTCCATCCTAACATTCTCCCTACAGTTCCCGCCAGGGTTTCCCCGAACCTCTTCTTCTCCATGTATTCAGTCTAGCATCTCTCAGTTCATTCTTCACACTTCACCAAAGTGATATTCTGGAATGCAGATCTGATCAAGGTTCTTCCTGACTTCAGTGCTGCCAGTGCTGCACATTGTCCTCGGATAAAAGCCAAAGGTTCTCCCCAACCCCACAAGCCTTAGTCATTGAATCTGCTCACTGCTCCAAGCTTGCTTTTTGCCCCTGTGCTCCTCTTTTTCTAATCTCTACCCTGAACTGCTGACAGTTCCCCTAGACTCCCTGTGTGTTCTTTCTTCTGAGCCTTTGTTTGTGATACTGATTCCCTAAAAGATTTCTCCTGCCATTCACCTGGATTAACTGTGTTCCTCATCCAGTTCTCTGTTTAGACATTGCATCCTCTTGGAAGCAGTTTTCCCGCACTAATTATAGTAGCCTGCATTTAGCTGTTTTTTTAGTCCCCTTGTGGAATCTTTGATGTTTCACTCATTGAGGGCTAGGAGACCCTGACACATAGTAACTGCCTAATAAATGTTTGCTAAATAAATGTGGGGTTCACCATGAGATACCACGTTATACATGCAAGAATGGCATTAATTTGGCTGGGCGCGGTGGCTCAAGTCTGTAATCCCAGCACTTTGGGAGGCCAAAGCAGGCAGATCACGAGATCAGGAGATCGAAACCATCCTGGCTAACACGGTGAAACCCTGTCTCTACCAGAAATACAAAAAATTATCTGGGCGTGGTGGCATGCACCTGTAGTCCCAGCTACTCGGGACGCTGAGGCAGGAGAATTGCTGGAACCTGGGAGGTGGAGGTTGCAGTGAACCAAGATCATACCACTGCACTCCAGCCTGGGAGACAGAGTGAGATTCTGTCTCAAAAAAAAAAATGGCATTAATTAAAAAGTCAAAAAACAATAGATGTTGGCATGGATGGATTACACTGCTGGTTGTGAGAATGTAAATTAGTACAACTACTATGGAAAACAGTATGGAGATTCCTTAAAGAACTAAAACTAGATCTATCATTTGATCCAGCAATCCCACTACTGGGTATCTACCCAAAGGAAAATAAGTCATTATATGAAAAAGACACATGCACACGCATGTTTATAGCAACACAATTCATAATTGCAGGGATGTGGAACCAGCCTAAGTGCTCATTGACCAACCAGTGGCTAAAGAAAGTGTGGTGTATGTACACCATGGATTACTACTCAGCCATAAAAAGGAATGAAATAATGCCTTATGTAGCAACTTAGATGGAGCTGGAGGCCATTATCCTAAGTGGAGTAACTCAGGAATGGAAAAACCAAATACTGAATGTTCTCACTTATAAATGAGAGCTAAGCTATGAGGACACAAAAACATGCAAAATGACATAATGGACTCTAGGGGCTTCTTGGTGGAGGTTGGGAATAGGGTGAGGGATAAAAGTCAACACTGGGTAGAGTACACTGCTCGGGTGATGGTGCACCAAAATCTCAGAATTCACTACTAAAGAACTCACACACATAACCAAAAACTACCTGTCCCCCAAAAACTATTGAAATAAAAAAATTTTTTTAAATAAATGTGGGGTTGATTTGTAATTTAAAATTTATTTTGAATAGCTAATACAAGAACAATATTTAAAAGATTATAATAATAAAAATGTGTATAGTGTGCAACGCAAATTTCCTTCTCCACCCCATCCACAATTCTTCCAAATTCCTTGCCTGGATGCAACCACTGTTACCAGTTTCAGCAAGAAATTAAGACAGAAATTAAAGTTCTGCTCCTCATAATAATCACGATCAATTATCCCTGCTTATACAGTAACCCCTCCTTTTCCCAACAGCCTCCTAGCATGAGGAACCCAAATTGAACAGGTAACAAACATACCCCTAAACGTAATGTAACTTGTACTCTGTTCCATGGTAGGAACTTCCTTCTCTGGGATCCCAAACTCCTAGACCAGCTGAGTACGTTGAGGGGATGGGAAGCACCAACACCCCACGCAGGTTACCGGAAGTGCTGGTGAGTATAGTCATTCCTTCTTCCAGCACTGGTGGTTAGAGACTTACTCTACCTGTTGGAGACTTGGCACCATATAACAGCTGCTGGCGTAACCTTAGTGTATGCTTCATCCTGAAGGACATTACCCATCCTGATAGGATGTGATCTTCAAGATAAAACCCAGCTGCACCCTCAAGAGACCATTCCACTGCTCTATCAGCTCGCAGAGTGTGTGATGCAGTATGGGGTAGAACCAGGAGATCTCATGGTCATGTGCCCACTACCAGACATCCTTCGCTATAAAGTAGGTCCCTTAGTCTGGGGCAATGATATATGGGTCCCCTATTAGAAGATCATACATATGTGAGCCCTTAGATAATGTTTCTGAGTGTGGCACTGTGGGAAGAAAGAACAAACTCATACCGCTAATACAAGGCAACCTAAATCTGACAGAACCCCTGCCTTTTTCATTGTGAAAAAGTAAGAATAGAATCAATTTGCCATCAAATTGCTCATTGGCTTCCATAAGCGAAGGTAATCTGTTGGAGTTTATTTATCGCTGGAAAGTAGATTGTGACAATAACCACGTCAGCCATGCTGAAGGCAGCCCAAGCCTTGGGACCCACCCACAGTGCATCTCTTCCACCATAGATAACTGCTTTCAAGAGCCTGTTTCATGAGCACTGGGATGGTTAAGGACAGAGGCTGGCTGATGTGTACCGAATGATTCATCCTGGACACCTGGTTGTTTAGACTACTTGTATAGAGGGTAATTTTTGCTGAGTAGTAACATCTGATACAAAAGATCCAAGCACTTTGTGTCTACTGTATGCCTCTTTCCAGATATTCCTGTTCCTGATCTTCCAATCTTGCTCCTTCCAGGCCCCTGACCTGCTATTTAAGCCACTTGCTGTTGCCTATAAGTCTGTGCATATTCTCACCTCAGGCCACTTCTGTCTACACAAAGTGGGTGAATCAGAGCCCCACCTGCCTATTGGCAGGACCCTCTTCAATGCTGTCTCTACTCATTCCTGAGTTGCCCACACTGCAGACACACTCTACTGCTGCCTCACACCAACACACTAAGCTGGCATGTTTATGAAGAAGCTCAGAATTTTCCTCTTAAGTCAGCTGGTCATAGAAACTACCCATAAGGTCATTGGTGAGAGTCGAGGTCAAGGCAAAGGTCCAGCAGTGCGAGGTGACATGGGGTCTGAGCAAGGTCTTTACGTAATTAACACCAGTACTCAGAACATACGTACTTTAACCCAGGGGTCAGCCAATGGTTTCAGTAAAGGCCCAGATGGTTTCCCTTTGCTGTGTGTGTGTTCATTCCCCTCTCCGAAGCTATGTGTAACCCCATAGAGATCACAGGGGTTCCCATCAACCACAGCCAGTTACATCCACAAAAACCTTGATCCTTGTTAGCAGATGGGAGAGGGTGGCTTGGAGGATTGAAATCCCTACTTCATGGGACTCTGGATACTTACACAGTTGCTTCCTTCTGTGTGTCTACATGAATCTCAGCACTGTGTTTGGGACACCATCTACACTCTTATTCTTCATGCAATTCTGTTTGCTCCTCAGATGGCCGCTTTTCCTTTGAAGCTCAACAGTAGCCATCACGTACTTGGGCTGAGGGTTACTGATTAACTCTGTGGGATTCTGGGATCAGTTCCTTCCCTTTCTTAGCCATCCCTGTGCTTTACAAAACTTAGCTTCACAATTATACTCATCTCTCCCTGTGTGCACCTCTAAGAAATTACTGATAAAACACGAGTTTTTTTGAAATTACAAAAATATATGCAAGAAAATGTTTATGGGGCCAATTGATCAGCACGGAAAAGCATAAACTTTCCTGTTTTCTGCCTCTCATTAGAATTTAATCCCCCAAAATTGAACTCATTCCAAACTTCTGGCTTAACTAGGAGTTGCTGTAGCCAGCCTATTCTAGACAGCATCCTGTAAGCCCCTGGGATTGGCAGACACAAGACACTTTTTCCATTCATATATGTGGTTCTGTTCTGGCCAGATCAGTGGACTTCCAGTGCCCTTCTTGAGTCATACTGAGGTAAATTACTCAGACCACGAACTCACATTTTTAAATAAATAAAATAGCAGCATAGTTAAGAATTTATTTATCCCATTACTGGGTATATATGCAAAGGATTATAAATCATTCTACTATAAAGACACATGCACACATATGTTCACTGCAGCACTATTTACAATAGCAAAGACTTGGAACCAATCCAAATGCCCATCAATGATAGACTGGACAAAGAAAATGTGGCACATACACACCATGGAATGTTATGCAGCCATAAAAAAGAATGAGTTAATGTCCTTTGCAGAGACATGGATGAAGCTGGAAACAATCGTTCTCAGCAAACTAACACAGAAACAGAAAACCAAACACCGCATGTTCTCACTTATAAGCAGGAGTTGAACAATGAGAACATGTGGACACAGGGAGGGAAACATCACATACCGGGGTCTGTCAGGGGATGGGGGCAAGGGGTGGGATAGCATTAGGAGAAATACCCAATGCATGCGGGGCTTAAAACCTAGATGACGGGTTGATGGATGCAGCAAACCACCATGGCACATGTGTACCTATGTAATGAACCTGTACATTCTGCACATATATCCCAGAACTTAAAAGTATAATTTAAAAAAAAGAATTTATTTCATTTGTATATGAAATTTTTTGGACATTTTTTAAACCTGCACTTTTCATAGTTTTTGATACATCCTTGCTCCAATAAATAATTTGCTAAAATTACTAAATCTCATAGATATACCAATGGTTTGCATCAGCTAATGGCATATTTGCTTGTCAAACTGAGGTCAGCCAGTCCCCCTTCATTCACTGTTAGTAACTCATGTGTTGCATTGTTAAAAACCCAGTATCACCTCATCTCCCCTCTAGCATCTTCTCTGCAGAGGAGAAGCCAGGCACTATATCTCCCAGGATCCCCTTCCCTGGATAGTTCCAGTTTACATTTTCCAGTGAGAGAGACTTGCATAAGAAATGGGGCCCTGGAGAGATGGCGGGACAGACCTGTACCCATCAGTGGTGGCTGCAGGTGGAGGAGCAGGCAGATGTCAGGTTCTCAGTGGCTTCCCTGCTAGGCTAGAGACCCACCTGCTTTGCTTGTGCGGACTAAGATGAGTGATAAGAGCTTCCTCATAGGTTCTGGAGAATATAGCAATCTCGCAGCAGGATTCTGAGAACCTCCCATCCATGCTTCAAGCTGAAGTCTTCAGTATATGCTTCCCTGACCTCCCTACTGCAGCTTCCAGGAGCTCCAATGGTGACTGGTATTATTATAGTATCCCACTGCTGCTATAACAAACTACCACAACTATGTGGCTTAAAACAACACCAATGTATTCTCTTATAGTTCTGGAGGTAAGAAGTCAAAAATGGGTCACTATGGGCTAAAATTAACATGTCGTCAGAGCTGCATTTCTTCTGAGGCTCTAAAGGAAAATCTGTTTCCTCGCCCTTTCTAGCTTCTTGGGGCTGCCCGCATTCTTTGGCTTGTGGTCTCTTCTTCCATCTTCCAAGTCAGCAGTCACATCACTTTGACCTCTGATTCTGTTATCACAGCTCTAACTCTGATGCTGCTTTCTACTCCTTTCACTTATAAGGACTATTGTGATTACATCGAACCTGCCCAGATAATCCAGGATAATCTTCCCATCTCAAGAGCCTCAGCTTAATCACATCTGAAAATTTCCTTTTGCCCTATTAGGAGACATTTTTATAAGTTCCAGGGATTAGGACACAGACATATTTAGGAGACCGTTATTCTGCCTGTCACATGACTTCACCAATATTTGCTACCCGTGGTTTCCAAACATTAGTGTATGCTCTTATTTCTATTTATTCCTGAAATACCAGAGTGAGTCTGTTTTTCTGAAAACAGCTCACTAATGCCCAGAGGAGCTCAAAAATTTTCTGTCTGTTGTCTCAAAGTCTCCAAATTGTACTGATTCTTCAATGTGCATGGCTGTAAATTAGGCAATAATCTTGCTGGGGTGTTGGAAGGAGAAGAAAGGGAATGATTAGACAGCCCTTCTGATTCGGGACAGAATCTGATTCGGGACACTGTCCCTGATGGCTGGCCATCTTGGGCTGTAATCCAGTTTCCCTCCCACGTAGACCCGGTCATTTCTGACTCCCCAAGAGGTTTTCACAGTATTCATGTCCACTTCCTTCATCAGTCATCTTCTTGTCTTATATCTCCATGTTTACATTTTTCTTCTCTTCTACCACTGCAGTTCTGCCTTGATTCTTCAGCCATTGCCTTCCTTTTGCATGCATGTGCTTCAGCCAGTTCTCTAGGAAGACATTCCAGACAGCTCATTATCACTTGTTACTATGTTTATTTGACTGCAGAGCTTTCAAGATTTGTAACTTTCTATTTTTTAAATTTTAGTGTAAAAATAATTCTTGCTCACAGTAGGAAATGAAACAATCAAAATATGCATAAATATACTTTTAAATCTCTCCTTTCACTAAATCCAAACCCACTTAACTAAGGTGATTACTATTGTATCAGCCTACTCTCTGCATGTCTACTTTCTTCACTTGCACGCAAACCATAGTGAGTGTTTTTATCTGGTAGCTTTTGTTGAGCTGTAATGACTATAAGTTTTATATGTAATTTAATCATTTTCAGGGCAACTTGAGATATAATTTAAATAGTATAAAATCCGCACATTCAAAATATACAATTCAGTGGCTTTTAGAATATTCACAGTTGTGCCTCCATTACCACAATCAATTACAGATCCTTTTATCTCCTCCCAGCCCTGCAGAAAAATCCATATCCAAACCCCAGCCCTAAGAAACTACCAACCTATGTTTTAACTCTACAGATTTACCTATTCTGAACATTTTATGTAATGAAATTATACAACATGTGGCTTTTTGTGTCTGTCTTCTTTTACTTACCAGAACATTTTCAAAGTTTGTGTGGGTCGTAGCTTGTATCAGTACTTCACATCTTTTTCATCGCTGAATTACATTCCATTGTATGGATATATCACAATTTATTTATTAGTTGGTGACATTTTGGTCCTTCTCATTTGGATTGTGATTAATAATGCTGCTATAAACATGGCATATAGGTTTTTATGTGAACTCATGTTTTCATTTCTCTTGGGTATACTGTATCATAGGAGGGGATTGCTGGGTCATGTAATAACTTAATGTTCACAAATTTGAGCTACTGCTAGCCTGCTTTCTAAAGGGGCTATGTCTCTTAAATCCCCACCAGCAAAGTGTGAGTATTCTAGTATCTCCACATTCTCATCAACACTAATTATTATCTTTTTAATTATAGCCATTCTAGTGGGTGGGAAATAGTATCTCATTTTTGGGTTGATGTGCATTTCCCTGATGGTTAATGATGTTGAACATGTTTCTATGTGCTTATGGGCCTTTTGTATATTATTTGTCTTATTATTATTATTATTATTATTATTTATTGTTTATTATTATCTTATTATTAATATTATTATATTGAGTTACAACCATTCTTTATATATTCTAGATACAAGTCCTTTCCTTGCCAGATATAAGATTTGCAAAACTTTTCTCCCATTCAATGAGTTTCTTTTCACTTTCTTGATGGTTTCCTTAGACTCACACATTTTTAATTTTGATGATGTTCAATTTATCTTTTATTTCCTCTTTTTGCTTGTGCCTTTGGTATCATTTAAGATCAGGTATTTTTACCTAATCCAAAGTCATGAAGATTTATGCTTATGTTTTCTTCTAAGAGTTCTCTAATATTAAGTCTCACATTTAGGTCTTTGATACACTGAGGTAATTTTTATATGTGGTGTGAAGTAGGGATCCAGCTTTATTCTTTTGCATAGGGATAGACTGTTGTTTCTGCACTGTTTGATGAAAAGATAATTTCTTCCCCTCACTGAATTATATTAGCACTGTTTTATAAAACCAATTAACCATATAAGTGAAGAGTATTGCTGGGCCCTCAATTTTCTTCTGACTTCATTCTTTTTAATGCTGTTGTAAGTTGGATTTTTAAATAACATTTGTATTAATGCATTGATACTCTATAGAAGCACACTCAATTTTTGTATTTTGATCTTGTAGCCTACCAATGTGCTAAACTAATTTAGTATTAGTGGTTTAGTAGTTGCTAAGCTTGTTTTTAGTGAATTCTTTCGTATTTCTATATAAGATTTTATCATCTGCAATTGAGATAGTTTTACCTCTTGCTTTTTAATCTAGATGACTTTTATTTCATCTTATTGCTCATTGTAGCTTTTGAAAAATTACATTGTATTCACAGTGCCCTACCATTTGATATTTTTATTTCTATTATATCATGAACATCCTTTGAATTTCACAGAAAAAATGGTTTAACTCATCATTTTAATGCTGTTCCATAGTATGTTATATGCACCTACTCCCCTGGGGTAAATATTTAGGTGGTTTCATTTATTTGTCACCCACTCTACAGATGTCTATATGCACATATTCTCCCAGCCATCCCAGAGTTTTCTGATTTCCCATAACGTCAGTGATTAAACTCCTGATCTGTCTGACTAGCTAGACATGCTGACTGACTGACAGTTCCATTGCTACTTTGCATAATTTAAGATCAACAGCTACATTTGGATCTCAGATCATCTAGGCCCAGCTGCAGTTAGTCTTTCCTAGTCTCAGAGATTCCCTCTCTGCCTGTTAATTTCTCTATCCCTGAAACTGCCCTTGTACTCCAGCCCAAGCAGCTTCCTAGCCCAGTAGTCCTGGATCTGCCACTTGCTAACTAGAAGGTGTCATCTGCAGAAGGTAAGTAAGGCATTTATCTCCATTCACTTTATATTTAGTTATCAAATCTCCATGTAGCTCAGGTAGATCGAGCTGAAAACATTCTTGTGTTTAGTAATATAGCCATTGAGCACACCATCATTGCTCTTTTCATACCTTAGTCCTACTCAAAGATTAAAGTGACAGCTTCCCAGTTATGATAAAAAAGTATAAAACATTCTGAGGGACCTGTAAACTATAAAGCTAAAATATCAGCTTCTGCATGCAACATATATGTCAAATTCTATGTCCAATACTCTTCTCATTTTTAGAATTAATTCTGCAAACTTGAAGATTGAGCTTTTTATGAACTGATTGGCATCTGCTATGCTCACCAGATTATTCCCACTTGACTGAGAGGATGGTGGTAGCAAGAGCTCCTTCCTTTCAGAGGCTTTTAAAAATACTTATTGGGAAGAATGTACCACATAAGGCATTTAACTAATGAAACCACAGATATAACCACTGGCAAAAAAATCAAACAAACATTTCTTTAACTGCCCTGTACTTGGTACATTCTCTTCCTCCTGCTAGGGAAGTATCTCCTCTCCCTTCACTTCACAGACTGGAATTTTCCAAATTCCTAGTCTCAACAAGACAAACTGTATTTTGAAATCACTGTTTTCCCAGAATACCCGGAGTGTTACCATGACTCCAGAAGATGCCTTCAACCAAGACTCATAATCTGACTGTAAGAAACCTTCAGATAAGGTATTGGGAACTTCTGTAAAATTGTAGCTGGGCTGTGATTAGAGAATTTTCACAATATCAACGAATCTTACAAAAGAGCTGCTGATCCAACAGGTCCTCAGAGATCCTGTGTGGGAACCAGAAGGTATTCTGTGAAAAACGACAATAAGAATAACCATAATAACAATAATGGCTGCATTTAAAAGGCTCTTGCTATATTTCAGGCACTGGTTTTTGTACCTACATGGATTATTTTGTTCAATATTTATCACAACCATATGAGAAGGATGTTATTATCCACAATAAATAAATGAAATCTGTAAACTGTAACTTGTTCAAGAAAATTAGGTACAGAGATGTTAAGTTACTTGCCCAAAGTTCCATAATTTTGAAGATATGAGGCTAGAATTCAGTTCCAGGCCATTTTACACTAGATCTACTAATTTAGCCACTGTATGATTGTACCAAGACTGACCTAAAGCTACCTCCCCTTCCCCAACAGGTTCTTTTATGACAGTGAGTATAAAATACAGGGCTAATGACGTATTGGGTGCAGAGAGGGGTTGGAAAGAATGTGGTATTTCAGACTATGCTTACTATGCTTAAAAATCACAATTCCGTGGTGACTAGAGTTTATCTTAAACTTTCCTCCCTGGCATTCCATTGCATCCAGTTGAGAGAGCACTCTAGCTCCCTACATCCCAGAACATGTAGATCTGTCCGTGGTTCTGAAAGACACACTGGCAGGTCCCGCCAACTACATGAATGGCATTCATATTGTGGAAAACTGCCCACTAGTAAAAATGTACAGTTGAATTTGTACATTCGTTACTTACAAGGTTGGAGAACGTGAAGTACTGGACAATCCAACAATAGCTTGGAAAGATACCATAAAAAGACCCGCAGAATATTCTTTTATATGCATTATTCTGAAATGTACAAAACAAAACCAGAATGGGACACATTATGAGTGAGAAGTTTATCTTGAAATTTTAATCAGAATATGAAGAAAAGAAATCCAACATTAGACCTGGAAAAAGATAAAATAATTTGTATTTCATTTAACAATATTTATAGATTCTCAATATATACACTATCCTTTTAAACCTCAATTTATATTTAACCATCCATTTACCTTTATTTTTTGTTTGTTTTTTTCTTTCACCTCATACTTTCTACCTGGGATATCTTTTTGTGACTAAAGTACATTCTTTAGAACTTCTTGTACTTTACTAGGTGTGTTTGTGTTAAATTGTTTGTCTTCAAAATTCATTGAGATTTAAATTTTATTATTATATTTTCATGCTTAAGTGTTATGTGTTTGTCTCTTCAAATTTTTCTGAAGATTATTTATAGTTTTATAGTCACTAAATGTATTTAACAATCTGTTCTTTAATCATAGCCCATTTAGCAATTTTATATCCTATACAATTATTCTGATTTCTCAGTTATATGATTGTATGATTCTGCTGTCTGTTGTATTTTCTTGTTCTTTCACGGTGCTTTGTCTCTTATGAACATTGTTCTCTGTTGTTGTTCTTAACTGTTAAGTGCTCCTTTTGCTGGTGTAATGATTTTTTGGAATTTTCAGAGTGCCAATGACAGTAGAAATTTTCCAGAGAAGTTTTGCTTGATTTTCCAAGGTTCCTTGGAGTCTGCACTACTTTAAAATAAATTCATGGCTTGATGATTTTCAGACCACCCAGGGAGTGTGAACTCGGGCTGCAAATCCACTTCTCTTTAATCTCAGCAGAAGGTTTTGCCCCTCTCCACTCAGCACCAAGGTGACTTTCTAGGGAGACCTTCAAGCAAGGATGTTTTCCTTATACTGAGGAGCTGGCTTTGGGATCCTGGTGAAATGAGGAGAACACTCTATTAAATTTCCCACTCTGAGTGCTACCTGAACTCTGTCTTCTATTCCAAATGCCTTAGGAGGCCATGAAAACTAAACCTTAATTATCCTACATTAAGTAAATAAGCTCAGCAAAAAAAGTAAATGCACAATTCCGTGATTTAGGATTTGACAATTTTTATTAAAGTTTAAGCCTCTCAATGCTTCTACATTGTGTTTTATTTTTTCACCATCCATTTTTGTTAGCATGAGGGTAGGTATGTTTACCTAAATGTGCCATGTGAGTGGTTCAAATCTCCTCCCCAACGCTCCTTATCACAAACCTTACCATCTTATTCCTTTAAAGTCACTGACTATCTAAGCAAACTACTAGCTACTGCTGTGCATTGATTAGGACCCAACAGTAAGACGTTTCTCCTTTTGGTAAACTGCACTTCCAGATGGTCTAATTGAACATCTTCTCACTGGAAGTATTTTTATTTCCATTACTCTTAATGATGATTCCTGAAAGAGACTCTAATGCCCTGACAGTTAACTCTGGGGTATCCAAGCATACTCAAATTTTTTTCCTTCTACAGTCAATTGTCCTTAGGGAACTCCTCAAGACCTCAATAATGAGACAAGGGAGAGTGGACTCTCCAGTGGTAATAAGAACATTAGGAGTATAGTACAAATTATTAGGCAACTTACCTGGCCTTATGGAACCTGCTAAAGTCTGATGCTGTGTATACCATTTCCCCTTGCAGACTGAGGGCTGGTGAGCATGAGTGACCTGATAAAACTCAGGTCATAATGGGCATCTCAAGTCACTTGGTCATTTTCTGTATCATGATCATAGAATTCAGAATCTACCAGGGCCCAGTAGTAAGCCAGAAGCTATTACTCAAATTCAGAAAAAGAATGGAACTTTTTCCCCAAACCCTGAAACTTGGGCAATGAGTCCTATGACTGCCACACACAAACACACACACACACACACACACACACACACACACACACACACACATACACTCAACAATATCCAAATAAGCATTTAGGGCCAAATGGCAGATATGCTTGACTTTTGCCTGGATCAAAATGACATTTCCATTTATTATGGAATGTTTCTGTACTTGTACTAGCTCATAGGATTTTGGATTAGAGAAATACCCTTGCAGGATATGAAGTCATACTTTTTCATTGGTGAAATCATCTGTTCTCATTAGAGTTTAATAATATCATGCAGTTATTTCTCAAAGAGCTTGTACTCCTTAGATTTGCTGGAATTCCTCAAGTTAAAAAGACCAGGGCCTCAATAATGGGAGGTCTCATTGCCAATAGCTACAACTGGCTGTAGAATTTATTAAAAACATGTGAGTGCATTGTTTGGGGAAAGAATCAAGAACAAAAGCAGTGCTTGTTTTGTACTTCACTGAACTACTTCCATGGCCTCCATTCAACTTTAGCTGCAGTTTTGGTGACTTGATTCACAGACTGTCGGAAAGTTATGAGCTATGGAATGTGCTCTCTCCAATACTAAAGAGGCCAGTCATATATATGTAGGGTGTCCTTCTTTATCATTGTAGGTTGTATGAAGTCAGTGATTCCCATAGAACCTTGGGGTCACAGATGCCAGGCCTAATCTTCTTTTATTATTCATTCAATCTTTATTTTTTCAAACAATGGTCTCACTCTCTTGCCCAGGCTGGAGTCCAATGGTGCGAACACAACTCACTGCAGCCTCGACCGCCCCAGGCTTAGGTGATCCTCCCACCTCAGCCTTCCAAGTAGCCGGGACTACAGCTGTGTGCCACCGCACCTGGCTAATTTTTGTGTTTTTTGTAGAGATGGGTTTTTGTCATGTTACCCAGGCTTGTCTTGAACTCCTGGGCTCAAGCAATCCACCCACCTTGGCCTCCCAAAGTTGTGGGATTACAGACATGAGCCACTGCACCCAGCTCTAATCTTATTTTAATTTTAGAAATCTAACTTGACAGTTTCTGGTGCCTGGATCCATATTTGTCTCAGAAGATTGAATTGTGGACTGTGACCTTCTCTCCCAAAAGTCTCTTTCAGGGTAGAACTTCTGGTTATGGCAACATGAAGAGATAGACCAGCAAGTTTTCCTCCAACAGCAACATGAAAACTGTACTAAATACTAAAAACAAACATTTGAAGTCACTGGAAAATTAACAAAGGCAAGCAATATGTGATAAGAGCTTTCTTGTTTAAGACTCCTTCTGTCTTAGGTAAGGACTGCAAGTTGGTGGCCTTTCCTTCTTACCTATGAGTGCTCTTCAGCCTCCCAGCAGATAACTGCAGCCCTAGTGGCTCAATATGGGCAGTTTATAGAGTTCAGAGCCCAAATCAGCTAGAAATGTAAATGAGAATGTTGAAAGAGAGCTGCAGAAGAGTTGAGATCAACAATGTGAATGCAAATTATGCTCATCCCTAGTTGAACACTAAACTCTGCATGGGTGTGGGCCACTTGGGAATCTGGTGAAAAACCAGAAAGAAACTAGAGGGAGGTCTACCCTCCAAAGAGATAAATGATCCTGGTGAGGTCTGCAAGTCTTCAGTAACATGGACTGAGTGCATTTGCCAACCTGCACAGAGCTCAGTAGAAGAAAGCAAAAATCTTACTGGCTTGAGAGGTGAAAAGGCAGGATTTGAGGCTAACAAAACAATTGGAAATTCAAAGAGAATTCCAGAAACAAAGCAACCACAATGAAGTTGAATCACAAAATCTGAGTATAAATGACCCAAATACTTGGTCAACCTCTAAATTACACAGATGCAGGACACACACCCAGAAACCCCTGCTGAAACCACGTAAGATACTAAGTGGAAATTCTCAAACAGAAAAAAAAGAAAATGAAAGTATTCTGGAAGAGGTCCACAGAAGTTTTGAGATGGCAGAATAAAGAACAAGCCTGTGCCTTTGAATATAAATCTCCAGAATGTGCTCAATTCTAAAATCCAAAACACAGATTGAAATAAGATTAAAGAAAAAAATGAAGAGAACGTCATGAACCCATCAGAGAATATAAAGCAGGTGACCAGATATGCAAGTGGATCCTCGAAAGAAGACACAGGATCAGAAAAAAATATTTGAGAAAATAATAGTTGAAAGTTTCCCACATTTGGTGGGGGATTTTAGCTCATATCTAAGGTGTTCAATAAATGAAAGCAAAATAACTGCAGAGAAAATTACAAATAGGGTGACCAAGGCCTTGGCCTGGCCTGAGGCAACTTAGCTAGCCCCAGGGATGTGTGTTCTGGTGTGGAGTAAGATCAGGGAGCTACCAGTGCAATCTCTGCCTCTACATCAGCGGGACTGATCATTTTAATTTTGATTGCAGTTACTGCTGGTATCTGAATCAAAGTGGTGATGCTTCCTGAGGAAATTTCTGAAGCCATTAGTCAATTAGAACATTATAAGCCATGCCTCCCGTGAAGAGGAGCATCTAATCCCAGCATTTGCACCAGGGAACTCTGCCTGAAGGGATTACCAGTGACTTGAAAGTGTAACCAACAACAATCTTGTCACTATTACGCACCAGCTAAGCAATCTGAACATACATGCTGAAGACATATTTGGTGAGCTATTTAAGGAGGCTAACTACTTCCACATTAGATCAAATTCTCTTAGAATTTGTTGCCTCATGGTCAAAGTCACTCAGCTGGATTCAGCAGTGGAAGAGGTGTCACCACAGGACATCAACATGGAAAAAGCCCTCAAAAGTTCCCCAGCCCAAGACCAGCAAGCAGTTTCAAAGAGCAGCATTCCTACTCCTGCTGCTGACATTTACAATCAGAGTGATTGACCACCTCCCCTGAATAGCATGAGAGCACATGGAGATGATAAAGACAGGCTGAAGTTCTATACTGATCCTTCCCATTTATTTGACCTCTGGAAAGAAGAAGTGCTGCAGGACACAGAAGACAAAAGGAAAGACAGAAGGCATCAAAAGTAGCAAAACCACATAGATGGCACCACTTATGATGTGAAAAGGATTACAAAAGCCAGAAACAAGCACCATGAGTGGAATATGATGGCATATGACAAAGAGCTTAGACCCAGCAACAGGTTGTCTCAGTGTGTACCATGGAGCATCCTGCAAGAACCCCTGTCCCTAGACAGCAGGTCCCATACAATGGATGTTAGGGATGCTCTTATCGAGCTACTCCAAACCATTCTCACGACCCTTCCTAGGCAGCTGAAGATGCATGTCCACATGGGCCCACAAACCAGGCCCCTGAGCTTGAGTGCCACCCCTCCTCTGCCTCAGTGAGGCACATGGCCCTAAATGGACCTCAAGAGCGGCCCCCACTTCCCTGCCTTACCCCAGCTGTGTTCCAATCCTGTGCACTTATGGCTCCAGGAGACTACAGGATGCTCCCAGCACAGGTGCTTGCATATTACAACCCGTCAAGACCTCCTTCTCTTCCCCCTTTTACAGTACAAACTGCCTTTGTTGCCTTCTGCAAATCCTCCTGCCGCCTCCTTCCTCATATCAGCTGGCTCCACACACCCTCCTCCTCACCCTCCCTCCACTGGCCCCTGGGTCCAGCATTCCCTCCTCCAGCCACACACTTTCCCCACCAGGCCTCTTGGCTCAGTTCTTCTTTTTTGTCTTCCCCATGCATTCGCCCCCACACTGCCACCAGTAGCTGAGGCAAAGTGTCAAGAACCTGCACAGCCACCAAAAAGTGATACGAGAAGTGATCTCCTTGCTGCTACTGGAATGGGGATTTGACTGGAAAAGGTGCAGGATCTGTGTGAGCAAGAGGCCAAGAGTGAGCCCCTTGGGAAGGACAAGGTCACAACCCTGTCAATACATTGCAGTGGAGAAGTACAGGGATTCTGAGGGAGACTTAGAGTTTGACAAAAACAACTGGCCCAACCAAGGCAGTGCTGGGGCTAGCTCTATGCAACAGGTGGGTAGCTGGTACCAGGCTGGGTGACAGCCAGGAGACCATATGCTAAGAATGTACTTAAGATTTCAAGTGGTCTCAGCACTCAATGGTATTATAATCCCGCAGCTGAGCACCTTTTGTATTAATGATGTGATATTGCTTCTGCACATCCAAAAATTCTGGGCTTTCTCAGTATTTACTGTGTAACATTTAAATGCCATTAAGCATAGAATATCATGCTGCACATGAAGAAATAGGATGTAACTATTACATCGTCCTGAAAAGAGCGTTTTTTTTTTTTCCTGTAGGCCATGAAAGTATTTAGTGTATTTTGGGTTTACTCTTATTGATCATTACAATTCTGCAGATGTGCTGTGTGAAGCTGCCTGGTGCTAGGCCTTTGAAGATTAATAACTGTGTTTCAGGTGGATATCTTCAGATGAGTAATTGATATTGTTTTACTGTTTTGGGGTGTTTTATGAGTTTGAAAAGCTGTTGGTTCTAGAGGGAAAGGTTTAACAAATAAGGAGAATCCAATATTTCTGCTTTCATTTTCTTGGCGTGGTATCCTCTGTGTGAATTTGAATGCTCAGTTGAATAGTTTTATTGCCTTAGTACACACTTGTCAAATGTAAAGTTGGAAGGACCCTTTTCAGGAAGGGTTTCCTGTGAACATTCACTTAGTAAATGCTTGTGGATGATTCTTGTAAGAGGTCTCAGTGCTTAGAAGTAATGAAAATGAAGAACAAGATCCTTTCACCTTCAGGGGACTTTGGGACCAATACTCAAAATATTTGCCAGCCCTTACAGCTTGGGCACCAGCCAGCAGGAGCAGAGGTGAGTGGTCCAGGAGCTGGGCAGCTCTGGGCAGAGCAGCTGCATGTGGGCCCTGGGTGCTAAAGCAGGCCTGCTCATTGTGTGTCCTGGAAGAGCTGTGTTCTAAAGGAGGCCACAGGAGTTCTTAGCTCCTTAGTGTGTGACAGACAGTGCTTCAGAGGGCACTGTGCTCCACTTGGTCTTAATTTTGAAAGTTTACATTGAGGTGAAAGTAGATATTGACAGCTGTTCACTCTTCATGTGCTGTGTTCAGATTACGGATGAATCCATGAGCAGGGCCTTTGCCTTATCCTAGAAACACGTGGTTATCTTCCCTCATGTTGTTGCTGGCACATCACATGTTGATAAGTACCTCTCAAGATTACCTTGATAGACCCGTAGCTGTAGAAGAGCACTTAGTTCTCACCTCTGCCCTTCCCCTTATTCTTGCACCGTGGTCATGCTAGAGACCCATGGGGTTTATTTTCCTGGCTAAGGCAAACTGTTGGGAAATGCAAGAATGAGAGCTTCTATTGTGTAATTCTGGATGAAGAATAACTGCTTGTTTAGAACAAATAAATGTCCCAGGCTTTGATTATAGTTATGACTTCAAAAATATGCTAAGACCATTTACTTACTGAGGAAATCTTACCTACTTATAGTATTTCAAATTGATTGCAGTCATTAGTGACTTTCAGTTACGATGAAGGGAAGAATCTTGAGCTAAACGCAGGGTTGTCTGAGGTGATGATAGGAGTGGAAACAGGATGGTAACTAATGGATTTAGGTTAATGAGTTCTGAGAAAATCAACCAGCCCCTGCAAGTCACAGCTCTGTGTCTCTAAGTGGACACCTGTCTGTCTTGAGGCAGTCATCATATAATACGCATCACATAGATTTTAGTCATATGGATTTTGAAACTCTGGAAACCATATGTCTGCAGCTCCCTTTCATGACCATGCTTGTGCTGGTTTATCTGATCTCCTCAGCTGTACCAGCTGCTGTGGCATGAGCTTCTTGAGCTTCTCTTTTTAGAGCTGATCATTATCTGGCGGCTGTCGCTATAATTTTCTTGAATACAAGTAAACATTATTTATAAACTTTTAAATTTCTCTGTTTAATTTTTCTCTCTCTTTTTTTTTTAATGTAGAGGCCTACTTTGCTGGCATCTTTGGGTCCTACTCAGTCATAAACCACCCTCCCCACCCTAGAGTAGCCACTCTTGATTTCTAATACAGATGAGTTCTGCCAGGTCTAGTTGAATGGCATTATACAGTCACCATCATGACCCTGGGTCTCATCATCTCGCTGTGTGTGGTCGTAGCCTGTTCACTCCCATAGCTGTCCAATGTTCCACTTTATAAATAACTCACATTTCTTGTCCTTTCACTGTTGATAGACAATTTTGTTGTATACAGATTTTACAAATCGTGCTGCTATGAATAATATTTTCATATAGTTTGGCACACACATACATGCATTTCTATTGGTTTAGAACTAAGAGTGCTATTGCTGGATCATAGGTGAGTAGATGATTGGCTTAGTCTCTCAAAAACCAAGTTTCTAGTAGTAAACAAACAGTAGAGGAGGGTGAATCTCTTACTTAGAAATTATTCAGATAATAAATGAAGAAGGAATGAGAGACTGAGACTATAATAACTCTTTTGCAACCCATCATGAATTAACAGATTTAGCCATTGAATAGCAATGGCAATTAACAACACAATAAAAGAAAAAACTAATGTGAGGTTCTTCCTCTTGATGGAAGAACACAATACAGCACCATCAAACAAGTCCAAGTGAAAAAGAAACCAAGCCTGAATAGAAGCTGATCTCCATAGCCAATTACCAATTTAGAGGCAATACAGATAATAGAAATACATATTAAACTATGCCTTGGGGAGCAATCAGCAAAATGCACACTATGGGAAGCTCTACCACACAATATAAATTTCAAGGAAGAATCTATAGAATAAAGACAACAAAAGCATATTTCTAAAGGTAAAACTAAATCATAATATTGGATGATAAAAATAAAAATAAAACAAAGAAGTGATGATCGTAAAAGTCAGGTTGTGTTTTTATTTGAGGGAAGAAAGAGTTTATTGCTGGGCTGGAGCAAATGATGGGGCTTCTGGTTTGCCCCACAAACATCTATCCCTGGTGATTAATGGGTGTTTACTTTGTATTAAAGGACACAAATTTTAGACATTTTTTTCTTTTGGAGTCCTATATTTTATTTTATGACACAAAGGCTAATGAAAAAATAATTTATAGAGTATGGTTACTGTTTTGCACAAAGCCTCCTCCCCATCTTCTTTTCTGGACACTGAGCACCCAGAACAACCAGCAGCCCCAGGACCCCCAGCAGGGGTGACCTCACTTCTAGGTGTGCATGCAGCTTACATCACCAGAGGTAACATGCAGGTCTACTCCTTGACTCCTGGAAGAACCTGATAGGACACAGCTGAAGGGAAGCCTTCTCCGCCATCTGTAGGCTCTTGGCCATCAGTGTAGAGGGAGCGGGTCCTCACTTCTCCACAGGCGTCTTCATGGCCATAGCCTCCTCTCTGCATGGGGAGTAAGGCCTGGCCCTTCGCCTGAACACGGTGACAGGGATCTCGCCAAAGGTGGAGATCACACCATTCCTCCTTTAGCAACCTCACGCTTCTTTTGCTTTACAGGAAAGTTGACTCAGGCTGGTGTCCAGTAAAGAAATCCCAAGGAGAGGCCGGGTGCGGTGGCTCACGCCTGTAATCCCAGGACTTTGGGAGGTCGAGGCGGGCGGATCACGAGGTCAGGAGATTGAGACCATCCTGGCTAACACGGTGAAACCCCGTCTCTACTAAAAAATACAAAACATTAGCAGGGCGTGGTGGCGGGCACCTGTAGTCCCAGCTACTCGGAAGGCTGAGCCAGAATGGCGTGAACCCGGGAGGCGGAGCTTGCAGTGCTCCTGCTCCCAGGAGGCGGATGCCCAGGATGAACTTTAAGGTGGAGAGAGGAATGTCATTGCTCATCCTCCAGGTTCCAAGTAAGAACCTTCCTGCCCAGCCCATCTCGATCTCCCTGAATCCTCAACGCTAATAAGGACTGTCTCCTTCTCACCTCCCTAGACTGGGCTTTTTAACACTGGAGAGTGGATGTGATTTCTAGTTTCAGCATGTCCTGGTTTATTGTGCTGCCAGTAAAATAAAATCAAAATACACATTGAATAAATAATAAATAACCCATAGTGAGCAAAGGCTTACAATGTATTTTTTTGAGTCAAGACCTCACTCTGGCCTGGGCTGGAGCCCAGTGGTGGGATCGTAGCTCAATGCAGCCTTGTATTTATGAGCTCAAGGGATCTTCCCACCTCAGCCTCCACAATACCTGGAAATACAAGCGCCCACCACCAGGCCCAGCTGTTTACTTATTTTTATTTTTTTAGAGACGAGGGTCTCACTATGTTGTCCAAGCTGGTCTCTAATTCCTGATCTCAAGCAATCCTCTTGCCTTAGCATCCTGAATTGCTGGGATTACAGGCATGAGCTGTCATGCCCAGCTTGTAATGTACTGACACTATCAAGGTTTCTTTCTCCAAGTGTGGACACAGCAGCAGACACCCCTTGTCTCTTGGGTCAGGACACTGGGTAGAGTGGAAGAGCAGGGCAACAAAGTCACTGCAGAAAGCACCCACGTGGAAGAGGTCCAGCAGGGAGAGCCACCTGTTCCAGGGACACCATATTTAGGGATAACTCCTCTTTCTGGGCAGGACTGTTCTTTGATTACTTTTGTATTCACAATAGTTCTGAAATCGTAGGATGATGAGACTCAAGACTGGCTAGGGTTTTATTTTGGTTTAGTTTTTATTTTGTTTTGTTTTGTTTTTTTCAAAAAACCATCATGAGATTTGTTAATCTTTTGAATGGTTTTTGTGTCTCAATTTCCTTCAGAACTTAACTCTTCTTAACATTTCACAGTCCACTTTCAGTTAAAAATGTACTAGTACCCATAAATAGAGAAATCTTGCAACCATTTATCCTCTATAAAATGTCCATCTTTATGGTACAGATATTATATGTAATATATCTATATAGGTTATAAGTCCCACAAGAAAAAAACTTCTTCTTATCTTTAAACAGTTCTATGTATATAAATTAGAGTAAATGAGGGGAACAAGATAGCCTTTTGCACTTAGCTCAGTATTTACCATTTTTGATCATCTTCATCTTTTCTGATAACCTCATTTCCCACCTGGTATCATTTGCCTTTAGCCTGAAGAATTTTCTTTACCAATTGTTATTGTGCAGATCTGCTGGTGACAAATTCTCTTAATTTTCTTTTACCTGAAACATCTCCTTATTTTGCCTGTCCTTGAAGGACATCTGTGCTGGATATAGAATTCTTAGTTGTCCTTTTTTTCTTCCAGCACTTTAAAGGTGTTATTCTACTTTCTTTTGTTTCTATGGTTTCTAATAAGAAGTCATTGGTCAGGACAAGAGGAACAGAGAAACCAAAACTGAGGAAATAACATGGTAGACCTAAAACTTATCAATAATGAAAAAAAAACCTATATGAATCAACACTCCAATGAAGGGCAGAGATTGTGTGAATTGGTTAAAAAAAAAAACAAAACACAGAACCCAACCATATGCTCTTTCCAGATATGCAGTTTCTTTGTTTCTTTTTTTTTTAATTTAACTTTTATTTTTAGTTAAGGAGTACATGTACAGGTTTGTTATATAGGTAAACTTGTGTCATGCGGTTTTATTGTACAGATTATTTCTGTACCCATTAGTACCCACCCAAGTATTAAGCCTTAGTACCCATTAGCTATTTTTCCTGATCCTTTCCCTCCTCCTCTACCCTCAAGTGGACCCCAGTGTGTGTTGTTCCCTTCTGCGTGTCCATGTGTTCTCATCATATAACTCCTACTTATAAGTGAGAACATGTGGTAATTGGTTTTCTGTTCCTGCCTCAGTTTGCTAAGGATAATGGCCTCCAACTCCATCCATGTTCCTGCAAAGGACATGATCTCATTCTTTTTTATGGCTGCATGGTATTCTGTGGTGTATATGTGCCACATTTTCTTTTTCTTTTTTTTTTAATGGAAAATAACTTTTATTGAGATCCCACCAGTTGCAATATCTGTTCCCAGCATTAAGCTCCTTCTTCCTTTGCAATTCGGTGTTTCTTGAGTGGTCCCATGAATGCTTTCTTCTCCTCCGTGGTCTGGAAGCGGCCATGGCCAAACTTGGAGGGGGTGTCAATGAACTTAAGGTCAATCTTCTCCAGAGCCCGCTGCTTTGTCTGCACCAGCAAGGACTTGTGGAGGGTGAGCACCCACTTCTTGGTTCCCACCACACAGCCTTTCAGCATGACAAAGTCATTGGTCACTTCACCATAGTGGACGAAGCCACCCAAAGGGTTGATGCTCTTGTCAGACAGGTCATAGTCAGTGGAGGCATTGTTCTTGATCAGCTTGCCATCCTTGATAAGGTAGCCCTAGCCAATCCTATAGATCTTGTTGATCTCAGTGCGGTGATGGTAGCCTTTCTGCCCACCACGTACCACAGAGAAGCCCACACGAGCAGGATGCCATGCCCCAATACAGGCCACCTTGCACAGGCCTTGGTGGGTCTTGCGGGGCAGCTTCTTGGTGTGCCAACGACTGGTGACCCTTTTGTAGCCTTTGCCCTTGGTCACCCTGATGACGTCGATCATCTCATCCTGCCCAAACACTTGGTTCACAGGTACCTGGTGCTTGAGCCTCTCGCCAGCCCAGTCCAGCTTCTCAGCCACAGTGCCTCCATTCACCTGGATCTCCATCAGGTGGGCCTTCTTCTGGCACAGAGGAAGCAGGTGCATCTGGGTGTGGGCAATGACGCAGATGACTTGGCAGTACTTCTTCATGCTGCTGAAGTCCTTCTCCAGCTGCTTCTTGCCATCCTCATCCTGCCATTTCTTGCAGTACTTGGTAAAGGCCTTCTTCTTAGATTTATGCCAGTTCTTATAGAAACGCCTCTTGCATTCATCACTGATGTGCTCAGCGAAGACAGTCTTGCAAGTCCGGAAGCCTTGAGGGGTTTCCACGCAGCCCACAATGCCCACTGGTGGCCTCTCCACAATGGTCACAGCCTCCACCACCTCCTTCTTGTTCACCTTGGATCCTGGCCTGTCGACTTCCCGCACGATGTGGGTCATGCCAGCCTTGTATCCCAGGAAGGCTGTGAGGTGGACCGGCTTGGATGGGTCATCCTTAGGGAAGCTCTTCACCTTCCCACGATGCCTGCTGCTGCGCTTCCAAGGCAGGAAGCCGAGGGACCCATGTCTGGGAGTGGAGAACTTTCTGTGAGACATCACGCCATCAAATCCTGCCGGTAGAGCATATTTGCCACATTTTCTTTATCCAGTCTACCACTGATGGACATTTAGGTTGATTCCATGTCTTTGCTATTGTGAATAGTGCTGCAATGAACATATGCATACGTGTAAGACATGGGCTTTCTTTTTTTAATTTGCTTTGTTTTATTTTACTTTAGGTTCCAGGATACATGTGCAGAACCTGCAGGTTTGTTACATACGTATAGTCTGCCATGGTGGTTTGCTGCACCTATTGACCCATCCTCTAAGTTCCCGTCCCTTGCCCCCCACACTCCCCAAAAGGCCCTGATATGTGTTGTTCCCCTCCCTGTGTCCATGTGTTGTCATTGTTCAACTCTCACTTAGGAATGAGAACATGAGGTGCTTTGTTTTCTGTTCCCGTGTTAGTTTGCTGAGGATGATGACTTCCAGCTTCATCCATGTCCCTGCAAAGGACATGAACTCATTCCTTTTTCTGGCTGTGTACTATTCCATGGTGGTATGCACCACATTTTCTTTATCCATCTATCACTGATGGACATTTGGGTTGGTTCCAAGTCTTTGCTATTGTAAATAGTGCTGCAGTAAACATACGTGTGCATGTGTCTTTATAGTAGAATGATTTATATTCCTTTGGGTAGATACCCAAAGCGTCAAATAGTATTTCTGGTTCTCGATCTCTGAGGAATGGCCACACTGTCTTCCACAATGGTTGAACTAGTTTACATTCCCAACAACAGTGTAAAAGTGTTCCTATTTCTCCACAGCCTCACCAGCATCTATTGTTTCTTGACTTTTTAATAATTACCATTCTGACTGGCGGGAGATGGTATCTCATTGTGGCTTTGATTTACATTTCTCTAATGAGCAGTGATATTGAGCTTTTTTAATTTTTCTCATTAAGATTTTAATGTCTCATTTTAAAAAATTAAAGGAAGTTTCCATTTATTTTTTAAGATAAAGATTTAGCGCACCCAAATGCCCCCAAAGCCAACAGAAAAATAGCTTTGCCCTGTCATTTCCCTAAGAAAGCACTGCAGTTACTCAAAATATGCTCAAAGAAAAAAATGCAATCCTCTGAGTTCTAAGTTTCACGAAAGGACCACATGTTAAACTATGTATATCGATTTGATGTGTAAGTATGCAATAAATATGTACACATACATTCCTATCTGCTTCACATCATTCTAGAGTATTCATAGTATATGAAGATGGGATTTAGAAATGTGAAAAGGCTGTAACAGTGAAAAGGAAAAAAAGGGTACAATGGTTTTTAGACCAGTAGAATAATAATGCTTAGCTAGTTAATTATTTTAACTTTGGAGCAGACTAAAAAAGTTGTTTTGAAATAAATGGTACCTGTAAGTGATGCTTACTGCAATACTTGTTAAGTGTTATTTGTCACCACTGACAGGAATTATATAGTGCTAGTAACACAGCTCCCACTGTCCTAGAATTCCTCTAAATGGCCAGCTATTGCTACCATTATCTTGATAAGCATTTCAAGAATTGTGTTGCTGAGCCTTTTAAAAGATAACTAGTTTATAACCTATGTCTCCTTATGTGCCTACATCAGTTACTCATGGTCCCAAAGAAGTATAAAAGAGGATATAAGCTGCTGAAGATTTCACAGAAGAAACAGAGATATCAGAAACTTCATGATCATCAAACTTAAACCACCGCTGTTTTGCTGCATTTTTACAGTAGGCTGTGTAATGGCCTCCATCCAGCCCACCGCAGTGATCTGAAACAGAAAACAAATTATATTTCTTCAAATTGTTCTTTGGACCAATAACATACTGTGACAAGGCAAGATTTTCTAACAGGAAGTCCACAGATGTCTGTAATTTTTGTTTCCACCTGCCATTGTAGGAAAAATGTTTCAGATGCACTAAAAGCACAGGTGGTAACTTCCAGATTTCTTTTTTAAGAATCCCGTCGAGCTCTGCAAAGATTGCAGTAAAATCTGTTATTATCTATGAGTTTTTCTTCTTTAGAAAATAATCTAAGGCAATCCTATAATGTACATTTACTTGTGGATGCTATCAGTAGAGACAAATACATGAAGGCCTCAAGTGTCCTAGACTTTTTGTGACGGGTGAGGCACTGTACTGTAGATTTGAATTGACCCTGAAAAAGTGCAACAATAATAGACTCATAGAGCCGCTTGTGTTTCTGCCAGGCATGTTCTGCAGCTTTAAAGTCATTGAGATGATCATTATTTTCTTCTTTATATGTCTTCCGATTATCAGTTTTATTTAGATCTTCATGGAGACCATCCATTAGGAACAGAAGAAATTCTTGTGAATCTTGACTGTATCCTGCAAACTGGTAATTGATCTTCCCAATGGTGACTTTAAGGTCTTTTGGACTGATATATCTATACTGTCCTGTCCACGGGGCTTTCATGATTATACCAAATTCTTCTGCCACTTCACCTTTATGCCCCTAACAAATTTGACTTGTTAATATCATCCTGATAACAGTTTCGGTTGAAATAATCAGCCAAATGTGGAGCATTACATAGGCACTGCAATATTGAGTTCATATAACAAGTATTTCCTAAGTTACGAAGTCCAGTAAGAGCTGGTCCAGAACCTCCAAAAACAGGATTGAGTTTCCAAATCTGAGAAGCAGAAAGCCTTGAGATCTCAGCTTTAGGGTAGCATGTTGGCTTGTCTTCCTGATTAACTGTTGGAGTTACTGCTGGCTTCCTCTTGAATAGCCTGGGTTATATCTGGGGAGGAGTAAGAGCATTTCAGTTTGGAAGGTTCCCTATCCTGCTTAGCAGGAATCTGTGGCTTGCCTTTATGAGTTGGAGGGGTGGAAGGAGGTGCAGATGAAGGAGCCATTTCCAGTGGGTACATATGAACAGTGTTAGTGGTGAATGATAATAATGAAACGTTCCAGTGATTGGATCAAGAAACTTGGCCCAGCCTGAAGGCAGTCCTGGTACCATCCTCCCCATTTCTTCACTTCGTGCTATTATCGAAGGTTCTCGTTGAGTTTTATTTCTTTCAGTATCATCTGTATCCTCTCTAAAAGTTTCTGTCCTTAGAATTCCAGTTTCTGGTTGTCCTTTAATCTTAAAAGGCTTGCCTGAACCTGAATCCCCTGTCGCAGATGTATGGGACACATCTCTTGTTGACTTTTTCTGTACTTCTGGGGTTGAACATCTTCTCCCCCTGTCCTCTACAGACTTCTCGGCACCAGAGGTTTCATGATCACTTTTACTTTGTCTTTTTACTCTTGTTATTTCTTTGCCCTTCTTTGCTGAGATTTCTTTATCCTCTTTCTTGGCCTGTTCACGTTCTTTCTTCTCCATTTCTTCTTTTGCTTTTTGTTGCTTCTGTGTAATTTCATTTTCTTCAGCTTCTTGTTTCTTTTTGGCTTTTTGCTCGTGTTCTTCCCTCCTCAGTTTCTTTCTGTTTCCCTTGCTGTCTTTCCTGAAGTTCTTTTTCTTGTTTGTTTTTCTCCATTAGAAGAGCAGTTTCTGCATGAATATGAGCCTTTTCTTCATCTGTTAACATGAGAGTTGGAGAGGAAACTACTGGCTTGGCGGAACAATCAGGAATAACTTTTTCATTCTGAGGAGACTGTTGCTCATGATTTGTACTTTCAGATTTGATTATATGCTCTTCAGGCAATTTGACTGCCAGTTTTTTAGTATGATCAATCTGTGGAACATTCTTTATGCTAGGCACTGGCTGAATGATGGGTGAAACATCAGATTTAGAAGCAGCAACTGATTCAACTGGAATTGATATATTCAGTGGTCCTGTCCTCTCATTTTGATCATTATCACTTATTTGATCACTTATCAATTCTATGTCTTCATCCACTTCTATAGGTGGAGGTGGCATCTCGGCAGCAGGTTTAGAAGGAATTGATTCTTCCAATGAGGGATAAGTAAAATCCAATGAGATAGACAACTCTTCATTCTGGTGTTGTGGGGGTGGAGTGACCTTAGCATTTGTTGTATACTGGGAATAGCAAAGGAACCAGTTTTTATAGCCTCCCTCTAAAACCAAAGGCCCAAGGCCCATTGCACAGGACAGTTTTACTTTCCCACTTGAAAAGTGCATCTTTCAGATGCCAGAGTGTTGTTCCAATCTGTAAATCTTTTGCAGAACTAAACCAGTCAAGAAGTACCATATACTCCACATTCCCCCTCTTCTTCCATGTATCTATAGAATCATCTGGGAGGTGTGCTTCAATCCAGCTAGCAGTGACTCCTGGACTGATGGCTTTTCCAGGAACACTGAGAGAATGTAAAATACAGGAATCCTGATAATCCTGCATTCTTTGAGCATCCATTATAATCAAGCTGATGTTTTTATCCATCATCATTGTGTATAGTTCCTTTGCTGTGATTGCTCCTTTCTCTTTGGTCTCACATTTTTCATTCTTTTCACCATTGCTCTTTTGGGTTTTGTCTTTGGAATCCAATACAATCTCCAAAGAATCTTTAGCCAACGTGCTGCCATCCTCTCTTCCTGTTTCCTGCCTTTTTTGTTGTAGCCACTGTGCTTCCCCCTGCCTGTCCTTTTCCTCAAGTTTTTTCCAGATTTCAACTTCTTCATATCTTAGTTTAAGGCTTTCAGAGAGTCGTTCAGTTTCTCCAGTGGCTTTTTTGATGTTTGCAGGTCCAAGTATTGAATGGAAGTAATACTGCTGTTGCTTGAAATCAGTTCTTTTTTGGATAGGATTATAAACAGTCATGTTTCATATACATGTGTGAGCTTTTTTTCATATGTTTCTTGGCCACGTAAATGTCTTCCTCTGAGAAGTGTCTGTTTATATCCTTTGCCCACTTTTTGATGGGGATGGGTTTTTTTCTTGTAAATTTGTTTAAGTTCCTTGTAAACAAACATGTGAGCTCTCATCATTCTTGTTTAAACACCTAACAGTCATCCTAACCAGTGCAACAAGGACCAGGCATGGTGGCTCATGCCTGTAATCCCTGCATTTTGGGAGGCTGAGGTGGGAGGATCACTTGAGATCAGGAGTTTGAGACCAGCCTGATAAGTGAGACCTCATCTCTACCAAATAAAAATAATTTTAAAAGAAAATAGATCAATGGATAAGAAAGGAAGAAATGAAAGTCTTTCTTTGTCACCAGCTTCATTGTATATGTAGAAAACACTAGGGAATTCTGAAAAAGTCTCTGGAATTAATCATTGAATTTGCAAAATAGTTCATAAAATATATGTAATAAGTCGCTTAGATGAACATGAAAAGATAGCAAACAATACTAGTCATCAAAGAAGTGCAAGTTAAAACCACAATGAGAAACCATCACACATCACCTAGAGCAGGTAAAGTTAAAAAGACATATGATAAGTCTTAACACTGGCAAGAATATGGAAAAAATAGGAATGTCTGATATTGCTGGTAGGAATGCAAAAAATGTGGCAGCCAATTTGTAAAGTGGTATGGCAGTTTCTTATACAGTTACCCATCTATTACCACATGGCCCAGCAATTCCACAAATACGTATTTATCCAAAAGAAATAAAAATGTAAGTCCACACTTGTAAGCAGTTATTTATAGTGGCTTCATTAATAACAAGCCCTAACTGGAGGAATCCACATGTCTATCAACTGGAGACACAGAAACCAATGAATAAACTGGGATTCCAGCAATACTCGGCAGCTGCTCAGCAACAAAAATGAATGAATGGCATCATCTCAAACATCGTTATGCTAAGGGAGAGACCAAACAAAAGACTACATAACATATGATTGCATGTCCATGAAATTCTAGAAATGTCACTATTGCAGTGACAGAAAGCACAGCAGTGGTTGAATGAAGGGAAGGGGGTGAGGGTGGGAGGCAAGGATTAAATAGAAAGGGGCATAAAGAAAGTTTTTAGGGAAAAGAAACTGTCCTCTACAGCGCCACAACTCAGGAGTGACTGGGAGGGGGAAGTAAGGGGAGAAGAAGGTCTGAGGGATAAGGGGCAGAGAGAAGGGCTGGGGAAGCAGGAGGAGAGGACGAGGAGCAGGGGAAAGGACTCTAAAGCAGTGGAGGGGCCTAGTAGGAGGATCTTTGCATTTGGTGTTTCTCTACTGGGCAGTGTGGTAGTTACACTATAAATAATTACCAATATCCACCAAAAAGTGCAGCTAAAACTGGTGAATTTTTTTACACGTAAACGCCCTGATAAGCAAAAAAAAAAAAAAAAAAAAAAAAAGGGGGGGGGAGGGGGGAGGAAAGAAGGCAAAAATAAAGACATTGTTAGATCATCAAACCCATAAAATTCATTTCCTAGGGGTCCTGTACTACATGTAATTTTAAAGGACGTTCTACAGGCTGAAGGGAAATGATACTAGATGGTGACCCAGATACACAGAAAGGAACAATTAACAACAGAAATGATGCACATACACATATCACATACACACCCATTTTCTTAATTTCCTGAAGATACGTGACTGCTTGTCTAAAACAAAAAGTATTACACTGTATTGTTGAGTTTATAACGTATATTGATGTAACATATACAATAATAATAGCATAATGATAGTTTAAATGAAACTACACCATTTGAAGTGTCCTTTATTTTGCTGGATGCAGCTTAATATTACCTGAATTTCACTGTGAAAAGTCAAGGAATTGGGTTTCAATTCTTACAACAATAAAAAATTAATGTAAAGAAATATAGCTAAAAGCCACTAGGAGAATTAAAACCATAAGCTAAAAAATGTTTACTTGAAACATAAGAAAGTAGCAAAGGAGGAACAGAAACAAAAAGATATGAGACAAATTGAAAACGTATAGCAAAATGGTAGACCAAAATCCAACCATTATAAGTGAAGAAATGACACGACCTGAGTCACATTAGCAGGACTGCTGAGCACTATGGGGAGAACAGACATGGGCAGGAAGTGAGGGACAGTGTTAGTGCCACAATTCAGGAGTGACAGGGTGGCGGGGACTAAAGGGGAAAGAGGGTGTGAGGGATGAGAGGGGCAGACAGAAGGGCTGGAGAGGCAGGAGGTGAGGAAAAGGAGCAGAGGAAAGAATTCTAAAGCAGTAGAAGAGCCTGGCAGGGGGTTCTTTGCATTCGGTATTTAATACATTTTGTGTGACTGCCTTAAAACTAATGGGCTCCTTATGATTTTTTTTTAAAAAGGGGTTACAAAAATATCAAGTGTCCAAATAAAATATGCACACTGCTTAGATGTGCATAGTTCCGGAAAACGGGCAGTGCTGGAGCGCTGGTGAAGAGCATTGGGACTGCATGGAGCCCTCACAACTTTGAGGTGATGACTACAGGCTCCCGGTTGCAATAGACAGTAACAAACCCTGCTTCTTTGTATTCAGGAGATGTTCTGGACTCACACAGGGAAACTCTGGCTAGAGAATGAGGATAACTTTAAATGCAACAACCCAGAGTCACAGATCCATAGTCTGCGAAAGTAAAACAGGAGCTTTGAGAATTTAATTGTAATGCAGTTTTGACACAGGTCTTTCACAGATTGGAATTCTAATCATTCAGGGATTACCAATATTGTGCTACCTACTGTATCAATAAACAAAAAGGAAACTGGTCTCTATGAGAATCTCTACCTGGTGCTTTCAGACAAAACTTCACCAGGTTTAAAGAGAAAACTCCTGACTCTACACGTCCATTCACAGGGCGAGCTCACTGTCTGGCATCAAGTTCCCCATGGTGAGTTTCCCTGTACAAGAGTCCAAGGGGAGAGGTAAGTGTCCTTTATTTTGCTGGATGTAGTTTAATATTACCTGAGGTAAGGTAAGGCAAAGAGTGGGAGGCAGGGAGTCCAGTTCAGGGACGGGGATTCCAGGAGAAGTGAAGGGGAAGGGGCTGGGCGCAGCCTGGGGGTCTCTCCCTGGTTTCCACAGACAGATCCTTGGCCAGGACTCAGGCACACAGTGTGACAAAGATGCTTGGTGTAGGAGAAGAGGAATCAGGACGAAGTCCCAGGTCCCGGGCGGGGCTCTCAGGGTCTCAGGCTCCAAGGGCCGTGTCTGCACTGGGGAGGCGCCGCGTTGAGGATTCTCCACTCCCCTGAGTTTCACTTCTTCTCCCAACCTGCGTCGGGTCCTTCTTCCTGAATACTCATGACGCGTCCCCAATTCCCACTCCCATTGGGTGTCGGATTCTAGAGAAGCCAATCAGCGTCTCCGCAGTCCCGGTTCTGAAGTCCCCAGTCACCCACCCGGACTCAGATTCTCCCCAGACGCCGAGATGCGGGTCATGGCGCCCCGAACCCTCATCCTGCTGCTCTCGGGAGCCCTGGCCCTGACCGAGACCTGGGCCGGTGAGTGCGGGGTTGGGAGGGAATCGGCCTCTGCGGAGAGGAGCGAGGGGCCCGCCCGGCGAGGGCGCAGGACCCGGGGAGCCGCGCAGGGAGGAGGGTCGGGCGGGTCTCAGCCCCTCCTCGCCCCCAGGCTCCCACTCCATGAGGTATTTCTACACCGCTGTGTCCCGGCCCGGCCGCGGGGAGCCCCACTTCATCGCAGTGGGCTACGTGGACGACACGCAGTTCGTGCGGTTCGACAGCGACGCCGCGAGTCCGAGAGGGGAGCCGCGGGCGCCGTGGGTGGAGCAGGAGGGGCCGGAGTATTGGGACCGGGAGACACAGAAGTACAAGCGCCAGGCACAGACTGACCGAGTGAGCCTGCGGAACCTGCGCGGCTACTACAACCAGAGCGAGGCCGGTGAGTGACCCCGGCCCGGGGCGCAGGTCACGACCCCTCCTCATCCCCCACGGACGGCCCGGGTCGCCCCAAGTCTCCCGGTCTGAGATCCACCCCGAGGCTGCGGAACCCGCCCAGACCCTCGACCGGAGAGAGCCCCAGTCACCTTTACCCGGTTTCATTTTCAGTTTAGGCCAAAATCCCCGCGGGTTGGTCGGGGCGGGGCGGGGCTCGGGGGACGGGGCTGACCGCGGGGGCGGGGCCAGGGTCTCACATCATCCAGAGGATGTATGGCTGCGACGTGGGGCCCGACGGGCGCCTCCTCCGCGGGTATGACCAGTACGCCTACGACGGCAAGGATTACATCGCCCTGAACGAGGATCTGCGCTCCTGGACCGCCGCGGACACGGCGGCTCAGATCACCCAGCGCAAGTGGGAGGCGGCCCGTGAGGCGGAGCAGCTGAGAGCCTACCTGGAGGGCCTGTGCGTGGAGTGGCTCCGCAGATACCTGAAGAATGGGAAGGAGACGCTGCAGCGCGCGGGTACCAGGGGCAGTGGGGAGCCTTCCCCATCTCCTGTAGATCTCCCGGGATGGCCTCCCACGAGGAGGGGAGGAAAATGGGATCAGCGCTAGAATATCGCCCTCCCTTGAATGGAGAATGGGATGAGTTTTCCTGAGTTTCCTCTGAGGGCCCCCTCTGCTCTCTAGGACAATTAAGGGATGAAGTCCTTGAGGAAATGGAGGGGAAGACAGTCCCTAGAATACTGATCAGGGGTCCCCTTTGACCACTTTGACCACTGCAGCAGCTGTGGTCAGGCTGCTGACCTTTCTCTCAGGCCTTGTTCTCTGCCTCACGCTCAATGTGTTTGAAGGTTTGATTCCAGCTTTTCTGAGTCCTTCGGCCTCCACTCAGGTCAGGACCAGAAGTCGCTGTTCCTCCCTCAGAGACTAGAACTTTCCAATGAATAGGAGATTATCCCAGGTGCCTGTGTCCAGGCTGGCGTCTGGGTTCTGTGCCCCCTTCCCCACCCCAGGTGTCCTGTCCGTTCTCAGGATGGTCACATGGGCGCTGTTGGAGTGTCGCAAGAGAGATACAAAGTGTCTGAATTTTCTGACTCTTCCCGTCAGAACACCCAAAGACACACGTGACCCACCATCCCGTCTCTGACCATGAGGCCACCCTGAGGTGCTGGGCCCTGGGCTTCTACCCTGCGGAGATCACACTGACCTGGCAGTGGGATGGGGAGGACCAAACTCAGGACACTGAGCTTGTGGAGACCAGGCCAGCAGGAGATGGAACCTTCCAGAAGTGGGCAGCTGTGGTGGTGCCTTCTGGAGAAGAGCAGAGATACACGTGCCATGTGCAGCACGAGGGGCTGCCGGAGCCCCTCACCCTGAGATGGGGTAAGGAGGGGGATGAGGGGTGATGTGTCTTCTCAGGGAAAGCAGAAGTCCTGGAGCCCTTCAGCCAGGTCAGGGCTGAGGCTTGGGGGTCAGGGCCCCTCACCTTCCCCTCCTTTCCCAGAGCCGTCTTCCCAGCCCACCATCCCCATCGTGGGCATCGTTGCTGGCCTGGCTGTCCTGGCTGTCCTAGCTGTCCTAGGAGCTGTGGTGGCTGTTGTGATGTGTAGGAGGAAGAGCTCAGGTAGGGAAGGGGTGAGGAGTGGGGTCTGGGTTTTCTTGTTCCACTGGGAGTTTCAAGCCCCAGGTAGAAGTGTGCCCCACCTCGTTACTGGAAGCACCATCCACACATGGGCCATCCCAGCCTGGGACCCTGTGTGCCAGCACTTACTCTGTTGTGAAGCACATGACAATGAAGGACAGATGTATCACCTTGATGATTATGGTGTTGGGGTCCTTGATTCCAGCATTCATGAGTCAGGGGAAGGTCCCTGCTAAGGACAGACCTTAGGAGGGCAGTTGCTCCAGAACCCACAGCTGCTTTCCCCGTGTTTCCTGATCCTGCCCTGGGTCTGCAGTCATAGTTCTGGAAACTTCTCTTGGGTCCAAGACTAGGAGGTTCCCCTAAGATCGCATGGCCCTGACTCCTCCCTGTCCCCTCACAGGGCATTTTCTTCCCACAGGTGGAAAAGGAGGGAGCTGCTCTCAGGCTGCGTGTAAGTGATGGCGGTGGGCGTGTGGAGGAGCTCACCCACCCCATAATTCCTCTTGTCCCACATCTCCTGCGGGCTCTGACCAGGTCTTTTTTTTTGTTCTACCCCAGCCAGCAACAGTGCCCAGGGCTCTGATGAGTCTCTCATCGCTTGTAAAGGTGAGATTCTGGGGAGCTGAAGTGGTCGGGGGTGGGGCAGAGGGAAAAGGCCTAGGTAATGGGGATCCTTTGATTGGGACGTTTCGAATGTGTGGTGAGCTGTTCAGAGTGTGATCACTTACCATGACTGACCTGAATTTGTTCATGACTATTGTGTTCTGTAGCCTGAGACAGCTGCCTGTGTGGGACTGAGATGCAGGATTTCTTCACACCTCTCCTTTGTGACTTCAAGAGCCTCTGGCATCTCTTTCTGCAAAGGCATCTGAATGTGTCTGCGTTCCTGTTAGCATAATGTGAGGAGGTGGAGAGACAGCCCACCCCCGTGTCCACCGTGACCCCTGTCCCCACACTGACCTGTGTTCCCTCCCCGATCATCTTTCCTGTTCCAGAGAAGTGGGCTGGATGTCTCCATCTCTGTCTCAACTTCATGGTGCGCTGAGCTGCAACTTCTTACTTCCCTAATGAAGTTAGGAACCTGAATATAAATTTGTTTTCTCAAATATTTGCTATGAAGGGTTGATGGATTAATTAAATAAGTCAATTCCTGGAAGTTGAGAGAGCAAATAAAGACCTGAGAACTTTCCAGAATCCGCATGTTCTCTGTGCTGAGTCTGTTGCAGGTGGGGGTGGGGAAGGCTGTGAGGAGCCGAGTGTGGACGGGGGCCTGTGCCTAGTTGCTGTTCAGTTCTTCATGGGCTTTATGTAGTCAGTCCTTAGCTGGGTCACCTTCACTGCTCCATTGTCCTTGTCCCTTCAGTGGAAACTTGTCCAGCAGGAGCTGTGACCACAGAGGCTCACACATCGCCCAGGGCAGCCCCTGCACACGGGAGTCCCTGTGCTTTCTGAGACAAATTTTCAGACCCATTCAGCTCCTGCCCTCCTTATAGGGCTCCTCTTCTGCTTTGGTCTCCTGCCCTCTCTCCCTTCCCTGATTCCAGTAATCTTCGTGCTGACTCCAATCCCAACTCATGAATCTAAAGCAGAGCCTAATTTAGATTTATATTTGTTTGTAAAATTGGGTCCATAGTCTAGAATTGTTCCTTCCTGAAGAGAGAAACCTGATTGTGTGCTGCAGTGTGCGGGGCGGTTGGTGTGGGAGGAGGGATAGGGGAGGGAGGACACACAAGCAGCCCTGCTGAGAAAAGTACAGGCGGCCTCGGTGTCAGTGTGAGGGGACCTTGTGCTGCAGCTGCCACAAAACAGCACTTGGCCTGAGGCTATGTTAATAAAGATACTGGCTTTAGAATAGGAGGTGCTCTACACTGATCATTCAACTGACCTTTGTTGTCAGCCAGACACAGGACAGAAAAGTTCTGCATCTGGGGAACACCATTGAAGTAAAATCAGAAAAATATCTGAGCATATGCTCCAGTGGTAAGAGGCAGACGATACATACACTATAACCACAGTAAGAAAAGAAAGTGATGGAAGGTGGTAAGTGCCATGAGGCAGGTGATCCGGGTATGGGCAGTGGGGACAGGGAAGGTGGCTGTTGGACAGGAGTTGTCAATGTGTGCCTTGTTGCAAAGATGACCTTTGAGGAAAGATTTGAGGGACATGAGGATGTCTGGGGAAGTTCTTTCTAGGCAAGGAAACTCCAGTCCAAATGCACTAGGGCAGGAAGGTGTCTGTGTTCCCAGAAGAGCAAGGAGGCCAGGAGGGCTGGACAGAGAAACTAGATGAGGTCAGAGGTATGGCCAGAGCAGGTGGGCTTGAGGGGAGTGGGGTTGGGTCTGACCTCTGCTCTGAGTGGGATGGGGAGTTAGAGGACAGTTTTGAGCAGAAGAGCCATGATATGACTTCTTTCTTAAAAGGATCTCTGATGGCTGTGCTGAGAACAGAATTGAAAGGCGAGGGATGAGGGAGGCAGAAGGGAAAACAGGAATCGAGTGCAGTATTCCAGGCTGGAGATGTCGGTTACCTTGACTGGGGTGTGAGCACAGGAAATAGTGGGACGTGAGGGGATTCTGGATGCATTTGAAGATGGACTCACAGCATTTGCCAATGGATTGTATCTGTGGTGTGAGAAAGACGAATCAAGGACACCCATAGTTGTAAAATGAGTGAGTAGAAGGAAGGGTGGAGCTGCTGTCAGTGGAGATGGGGAGACTCTGGCAGGAGCATCCTGAGGAGGGGGCATCACAGGCACTCAGTGGAGGAGATGTCTACTAGGAATGCAGGTGGGGGAGCTGGGGTGGCAGCTGGGCAGACAACTCCACAGTTCAGGGGAAAGGACTGGGCTGGAGAAATAGATTTAGGAGCTCACACCACATAAACGATACTTAAAACCTCAAGCATGGATGAAGCACCAAGGGAGTGACTGACTGTGGAAAAGAATCAGCGCAAGGACTGAACCCTGGACCTCCAGTTCTAAGGGATCTGATCAGACCACAGAGCAGACTGCACAGTTCTGGCCCCACGTCTAGAGGACGCTTAGACAAGGAACTCCCGTGTGCACCAGGATCACCTGGATGTGGTGCTGAGATCCAGGAAGTCTGGAGTCGAGCAAGAGATTCTGGATTTATGACAAGGCTGGAGCTCACATTGCTGGTCTCCAGATCACACTTGGAGTAGCCAGAACACCAGGACCCCACGTCTGCATCGGCCTCTCCTGTAGGGCTTGTTATGTAAATGATTCCTTGGTCTTGTGCATAATATTGTGAGACAGGGGTTCTGAGGAGTGGCCTGAGTATTTTCTAAGCCTCCACCAGAAATCTTGTTGCTCAGCCAGATCAGGAACCTCAGAGATCAGAGAGTGCCCAGGGTGGGTGGGTGGGTTTTCAAACCCTGTTTAAAAGAGGATTTTTCTTGCAGAAAGGAAAGGGAGGATGTATATCATCAGTTAAGAGATGTGATAATCCCTGTTGATCTCTCTACCATGAGGTAGAGGCCAGGTAGACAATTCAGGATGTGGCTGTCACACAAGGAACACCTCCGAATGCTGCTCTCTGACCCTGGTCCATAGTTTCATTTCTCACTCACCTCTTGGAGAAAACTATGGAAAACAAATTTCTGTAATTTATACATAAAGTAGTATACCTGGTATTGGGGGTTAATTTTATTGTGGGGAAGGCCACAGAACCAGGCTGAAAACTACACATCCCAGAAAAGAATCCATAGCCCACGCCCCTGGATCAGGTCCCTCCTAGGAACAACTGCTCCTGCTGCTGAGCACAGACACCACTGCTCACACCTCTGACATCCTGGTGCTGGACACTGGACCCCAAGGCTAGGATAGATGTCACTGCTGCCCCTGGCAACTGGACATCACTACTGACACTCAGCCATGTTTACTAAAATGCATTCTGCACAATCCCAGCCTTTCTGTGTCACCTCATTCTAGCTCAGAGTCTGGCAGTGATATAGGATTTAAGAAGAAATTATTTAGGCAGGTAGTGAGGGTACAGAAGTCTCAGTAAGGTTTTCTTTTTAATGGAAAGCAGGCCCCAAATCGTTTTCTTTTCTGACAAAGACCAGCCTGTAAAATCAAGCTTCAGACATAGACAAGCAAGCTGGAAGCTTGCACGAGTGAATGCTGGCAGCTGTGCCAATAGGAAAAGGACATCTGGGACTAGGCGTGTTCACAATGATGGCTCCATCTTCCCTTCTTTTTGCCAGCCATGTGTTCAGTAAAGAGCAGACAACATAGCACCGGCCAATAAACTCACTCCTTGTGTGTCACTGTCCTTAATCTTCTTGGTGAGATACAATGAACCCTGAGTATTTACCTGAGACAACAATGCTGCTTCAGCAGGTGGTCATCTGACTGATGGAGTTTAAGACTCATGTCCATTATCAACTGCAGGGGTGACTGGAGTGTTGTGCTCTTCTAGGGATGGGGGTGGTTTCTATCTCCTCTTAACACTTTACATGTTGTAAACCGAAAATAAACTTCAAACCCACCCTCTCCCAACCATCTTAATGGACACCCTCCTCAGCCAGGGCGCTCAAAAATTAACTTGAAAGACTGGCTCAGGCCACCATGGGAAGCAGGTGTTGAACATGCCTCATTATGGCCTCTTCCCTTTTGGAATTCAGGAAAAGCTGACCAGCAATTAACATCAACACAGACCTTAAGTCTGATCAGAAACATTATAATCTATTCTCTCTGAAGCCTGGCACCTGGAGGCTTCAACTGCATGATAAAATTTTGGACTCCACAACCTCTTATCATAACCCAGACATTGCTTTTTATTGATAATAACTCAACCAATTGCCAATCAGAACATTTTAAAATCTACCTATAACCTAGAAGCAGTAACCCCCAACCCTCGCTTGCTTCAAATTGTTCTGCTTTTCTGGACTGAACCAATGTATATCTTAAATATATATTATTAGTGTCTCATATCTTCCTAAAATGTATAAAACCAACCCATACCCCAACCACATTGAGCACATGCTCTCAGGGTCTCCTGAGGGACGTGTCATGGGCTGTGGTCACTCGTATTTGGCTCAGAATAAATCTCTTCAAATATTTTATGAAGTTTGCCTCTTTTCATTGACAGTGTGGAATTCTGATGTAGTAAGAGGGTTCAAGTGCTGGAGTGTGAAGGGTGGGAAAAGAATGATAAATTTTAATTATTGGAGCAGTGCTCCAAGAAAAGAAATTTATCTAGTATCTGTAGGGATTCAGAGTGTCTGAATGAACCGGTGACTAATAAATAACATCTTTCCACCCATTCCCTTGAAAATAAGTTATTACATCAAGTTTTTGTCTATCCCAGTTCATACTCCAGATTATTGGAGTGGCATGGTGTGATGGTGAAATGATTATTCACACATCTTCCCTTGGCATTGTCTCTTACTGGGATTAAAACACCCAGGTTTGTAAGATCTCAGAGGATCTGGTTGCACACTGATGTTTTATATTAATATTTATATTTTCTTGTGTGTGGAAATATTTCTGGGGAGAGAATCTCTGACACTTATTAGTTTTTATGTGACCCCCTCAAAGGCCTAAAAAATCCTAACTTCTAGATTAGAGGTAGGGCCACTCCATGTCTGGACAATGAACAGCTGGTAGAAACCTGTGTTTAGCAGACTTAGGGACATGAAATAAATGCTTAATTTTTTTTTATCTTTTCCTCTGGGACCGAAGAAGGTAGAGGTTTACTTGCTTACTCTTACTGTTGTTGCGGGAAGTCAAGGACCCCGAATGAGGGACTGGCTGGAGCTGTGGCAGAGGAACATAAATTGTGAAGATTTCATTTTAATATGGACATTTAACAGTTCCCAAATAATACTTTTATAATTTCTTATGCCTGTCTTTACTTTAATCTCTTAATCCTGTTATCTTCATAAGCTGAGGATGTACGTCACCTTAGGACCACTGTGATAATTGTGTTACAATTTGATTGTAAAACGTGTGTTTGAACAATATGAAATCAGTGCACCTTGAAAAAGAATAGAATAACAGCAATTTTTATGGAACAAGGGAAGACAACCATAAGGTCTGACTGCCTGCGAGGTTGGGCAAAAACAGCCATATTTTTCTTCTTGCGCAGAGCCTATAAACAGACGTGCAAGTAGGAAAGATATCACTAAATTCTTTTCCTAGCAAGGAATATTAATATTAATACACTGGAGAAGGAATTCATTCCTGGGGGGAGGTCTATAAACGGCCGCTCTGGGAATGTCTGTCTTATGCAGTTGAGATAAGGACTGAGATATGCCCTGGTCTCCTGCAGAACCCTCAGGCTTACTAGGGTGGGGAAAAACTCTGCCCTGGTAAACTTGTGGTCTGACCACTTCTCTGCTCTCAAACCCTGTTTTCTGTTGTTTAAGATGTTTATCAAGACAATACGTGCACTGCTAAACATAGACCCTTATCAGTGGTTCTGCTTTTGCCCTTTGTCTTGTTCCCTCAGAAGCATGTGATCTTTGTTAGACTCTTATTAGTAGTTCTGCTTTTTGCACTCAGAAGCATGTGACTTTTTACCTACTCCTTGTTCTTACACCCCCTCCCCTTTTGAAACCCTTAATAAAAACTTGTTGGTCTGAGACTCAGGCAGACATCACGGTCCTACCGATATGTGATGTCACCCCTGGTGGCCCAGCTGTAAAATTCCTCTCTTTGTACTGTCTTTCTTTATTTCTCAGCTGGCCGACACTTATGGAAAATAGAAAGAACCTATGTTGAAATATTGGGGGTGGGTTCCCCCAATATACTGTAAGTTTCTCTCTGTGGGATGGTGATGGGGTTTTCCTCCAGCCAAATAATTTTCTGATTCTCCAACAGCAATTGGGAGTCCTAGAATTTGACTCAATTCTGACACTAACTACCTGGAGTTAGCCTCAGACTCCACAGGTTTAAGGACTCAGTCCCACAAGTCTGTCCTCACTTCAGATGCAAGTCACAAGTTATCGGGTTCCAGGTTACCTGCACTTCTGTCTATCATGGCTGCAATGTCAGGGGTTTCTCACCTCCCAAGGTTTGGGAATTCTTAAACTAACTCAAAGAACTCAGGAAGTTGCTATAACCATGTAAACCAAAAAACATCTGAGACAGGTATCAATCAATTTAGAAGTTTATTTTGCCAAGCTGAAGATGTACCTTGGAAACAGAGACACAAATTATTGTAGCATCTGTGGCCCATGCTTTTTACTAAGAGGGTTTTGAGGACTTTAATATTTACAGGAGAAAGAGCAGGCAGGAGAGGAAAAAGGAACAGTCAACTATGCTTTCGTCGAGTGCTCAGTAAATCTGCATTTTACATAAGACAAAGTAAATGTTGGGTAGAGAAGTCAAATACACATTTGTCTCCAGGTGAGTGGAGGGATGATTTCTGGTCTTGTCTTTGTCCTTCACCTGTGAAGATAAGCTGTTAATTTACATTGTTAGGGTGAAACTCAACAAAACTCTGTTTTAGAGTAAAGATGTTGGGGCCCACAAGGAATTATCTTGTGAGCAATTTGTGAGGGAGGCCACCTGGGGAGATATATGTTCCTCTATCTTTGCAGTTATTTGTTTAGGAACAAAAGAAAGGCGGTTTTTCCATCACTCAGTTACCAAACTTAACTTGTCCCTTTGGTATAGTGAATTTGGCGTCCCTAAATTTTATTTTTCTTTCACACTCAGTATTGTAGTTTATTATTGTTATAGCTTAAATCAGTGGTCCCAACTTTTTGGCACCAGGGACCAATTTCATGGAAGACAGTTTTTCCATGGACCAGCAGAGGTGGCAGGGAATAGAGGGGAATGGATTGAGGATGAAACTGTTCCACCTCAGATGATCAGGCATTACTGTTTCATATGGAGAATGCAACGTAGATCCCTCACATGCAGAGTTCACAATAGGGTTCATGCTCTTATGAGAATCTAATTCCGCCACTGATCTAACAGGAGGCAGAGCTCAGGTGGTCATGCTCATGCTCTATCACCCACCAGTGACCTCCTGCTGTGTGGTCTGGTTCCTGCCAAGCCAAGAACCTGTACCAGTCCACAGCCAGGGGTTACGGACTCTTGGTTTAAATTATGCCACTATAGTAGAACACCTGAGACTGGATAACTTAAAACGAACAGAAATTTATTTGGTTCATGGTTGTTGAGGATGGGAATTCCAAGACCAAGGACTGTACCTGGTAGAAAGCAAAAGGGCAAGAGAGGGTGAGAGGTAGGGGGAATAAGAGGTCAAACTCACAGCCTCAGGTCCTTTTATGATCAGACTTAATTCATTAATGGAGGCAGAGCTCTGATGGTCCAATCACCTCTCAAAGGTCCCGCCTCTTAAAAATGTTGCATTCAGGATAAATTATCCAAGAGATGCTTTTCTAGGGAAACATTCAAGCCATAGCAGTTATAAAGGGTACAAATGAGCAACCAGATGAAGAGGTGCACAGGGTGTGGTCTGGGAGGGCTCTGAGCACAGGAGCCTCTGTCCCCATGGAGATGAGGTTCACCATCCTCCCAGCACATGGACACACGGATGTGCTCAGCAATTGGGAAGCTCTCCAAAACCCAATCTCTAGAGGTTTCTATGGAAGTTTCATTGTGTAGGCAAGATTAATTAAATCAATGGCCACTGGTGACTGAACTCAACTTCCAGCCCCCTTTGCTTCTCAGAGGTAAGGGATACTGCTGAAATTTCCAATCCTCTAATCACAGCTTCGTGTTTCTGGCAACCAGCCCCCATCCTGAAGCTATTTAGGAGCCCCTCACCCCATAGTCATCTCATTGGCATATTAAAGTCATACTTATCACTGAGGAGATTGCAAATGTTTTGGAACCTGCTTGTCAGGAAACAGGGAAAAAGACCAGATATTTTGATTGGGCCACAGATCACACCCTGGTCTTTGACCACATTATCTCTTTTTATAATATTTATTTATTTCAGAGACAAGGTCTTGCTCTGTTGCCCAGGGTAGAATGCAGTGGCACAATCATAGCTCATTGTAACCTTGAATTCCTGGGCTCAAGTGATCCTTCTGCCTCAGCCTCCTGAGCAATAGCATTACAGGTACACACCAGCATGCCCAACTAATTTTTTAAAGATTTTGTAGGAATGGGGTCTCACTATTTTGCTCCGGTTGGTTTCAAACTCCTGGCCTTAAACAATCCTCCTACCATGGCCTCCGAAACTGATGGAATTACAAGTCTGAGCCACTGTGCCTGGCCAATCACAGATCTCCTATACCAGAAGAATCATAACAGTGAGAAGATCCTGGCACATTACCAGAATCCTTTTTGGTCATGAAAAATTATCCCAGGGGAGATCGTTCCAAGATAGCCAAATAGGAACAGCTCCAGTCTACAGCTCCCAGCGTGAGCAGTGCAGAAGACGGGTGATTTCTGCATTTCCAACTGAGGTACTGGGTTCATCTCATTGGGACTTGTCACACAGTGGGTGTTGCCCACAGAATGTGAGCTGAAGCAGGGCAAGGCATTGCCTCACCAGGGAAGCACAAGGGCTCGGAGAATTCCCTTTCCTAGCCAAGGGAAGCCATGAGAGATGGTACCTGGAAAATCGGGACACTCCCACCCTAATACTGTGCTTTTCCAACAGTTGTAGTGAATGGCACACCAGGAGATTATATCCCATTCCTGGCTCAGTGGGTCTCACACCCATGGAGCGTTGCTCACTGCTAGCACAGCAGTCCAAAATTGAACTGGGAGGTGACAGTGAGGCTGGGGGAGGGGCGTCTGCCATTGCTGAGGCTTGACTAGGTAAACAAAGTGGCAGGAAGCTCAAACTAGGTGGAGCCCACTGCAGCTCAACAAGGCCTGTCTGCCTCTGTAGACTCCACCTCTGGGGGCAGGGCATAGCTGAACAAAAGGCAGCAGAAACTTCTGCAGACTTAAATGTCCCAGTCTGACAGCTTTGAAGAGAGCAGTGGTTCTGCCAGCATGGAGTTTGAGATCTGAGAACGGACAGAGTGCCTCCTCAAGTGGGTCGCTGACCTCTGAGTAGCCTAACTGGGAGACACCTCCCAGTAGGGACCGAATGACACCTCATACGGCCGGGTGCCCCTCTGAGACGAAACTTCCAGAGGAAGGATCAGGCAGCAACATTTGCTGTTCTGCAATATTTGCTGTTCTGAAGCCTCTGCTAGTGTTACCCAGGCAAACAGGGTCTGGAGTGGACCTCCAGCAAACTCCAATAGACCTGCAGCTGAGGGTCCCGACTGTTAGAATGAAAACTAACAAACAGAAGGAATAACATCAACAAAAGGGACATCTACACCAAAACCCCATCTGTAGGTCACCATCATCAAAGACCAAAGGTGGATAAAACCACAAAGATGGGGAGAAACCAGAGCAGAAAAGCTAAAAATTCTAAAAATCAGAGCACCTGTTCTCCTCCAAAAGATCGCAACTCCTCCCTAGCAATGGAACAAAGCTGGATGGAGAATGACTTTGACAAGTTGACAGAAGTAGACTTCAGAAGATTGGTAATAACAAACTTCTCTGAGCTAAAGGAGGATGTTCGAACCCATCGCAAGGAAGCTAAAAACCTTGAAAAAAGATTAGATGAATAGTTAGCTAAAATAAACAGCATAGAGAAGAACTTAAATGACCTGATGGAGCTGAAAACCATGGCATGAGAACTACATGACGCATGCACAAGCTTCAGTAACCAATTCGATCAAGTGGAAGAAAGGGTATCGGTGATTGAAGATCAAATGAATGAAATGAAGCAAGCAGAGAAGTTGAGAGAAAAAAGAGTAAAAAGAAATGAACAAAGCCTCCAAGAAATATGGGACTATGTGAAAAGACCAAATCTACATTTGATTGGTGTACCTGAAAATGACAGAGAGAATGGAACCAAGTTGGAAAACACTTTTCAGGATATTATCCAGGAGAACTTCCCCAACCTAGCAAGGCAGGCCAACATTCAAATTCGTGAAATACAGAGAACGCCACAAAGATACTCCTCAAGAAGAGCAACCCAAAGACACATAATTGTCAGATTCAATAAGGTTGAAATGAGGGAAAAAATGTTAAGGGCAGCCAGAGAGAAAGGTCAGGTTACCCACAAAGGGAAGCCCATCAGACTAACAGTGGATCTCTTGGCAGAAACTCTACAAGCCAGAAGCGAGTGGGGGCCAATATTCAACATTCTTAAAGAAAAGAATTTTCAACCCAGAATTTCATAACCAGCCAAACTAAGCTTCATAAGTGAAGGAGAAATAAGAGCCTTTACAGACAAGCAAATGCTGAGAGGTTTTGTCACCACCAGGCCTGCCTTACAAGAGCTCCTGAAGGAAGCACTAACATGGAAAGGAACAACCAGTACCAACCACTGCAAAAATATGCCAAATTGTAAAGACTATCGATGCTAGGAAGAAACTGCATCAACTAACGGGCAAAATAACCAGCTAACATCATAACGATAGGGTCAAATTCACACATAACAATATTAACCTTAAATGTAAATGGGCTAAATGCCCCAATTAGAAGACACAGACTGGCAAATTGGATAAAGAGTCAAGACCCATCAGTGTGCTGTATTCAGGAAACCCATCTCACGTGCAGAGACACACATAGGCTCAAAATAAAGGAATGGAGGAAGATCTACCAGGCAAATGGAAAACAAAAAAAGCAGGGGTTGCAATCCTAGTCTCTGATAAAACAGACTTTAAACCAACAAAGATCAAAAGAGACAAAGAAGGCCATTACGTAATGGTAAAGGAATCAATTCAACAAGAAGAGCTAACTATCCTAAATATATATGCACCCAATACAGGAGCACCCAGATTCATAAAGCAAGTCCTTACAGAACTACAAAAAGACTTAGACTCCCACACAATAATAATGGGAGACTTTAACACCCCACTGTCAACATTAGACAGATCAACGAGACAGAAAGTTAACAAGGATATCCAGGACTTGAACTCAGCTCTGCACCAGGCAGACCTAATAGACATCGACAGAACTCTCCACCCCAAATCAACAGAAAATACCTTCTTCTCAGCACCATATCACACTTATTCCAAAATTGACCACATAGTTGGAAGTAAAGCACTCCTCAGCAAATGTAAAAGAATAGAAATTATAACAAACTGTCTCTCAGACCACAGTGCAATCAAATTAGAACTCAGGATTAAGAAACTCACTCAAAACCACTCAACTACATGGAAACTGAACAACCTGCTCCTGAATGACTACTGGGTACATAACGAAATGAAGGTAGAAATAAAGATGTTCTTTGAAACCAATGAGAACAAAGACACAACATACCAGAATCTCTGGGACACATTTAAAGCAGTGTGTAGAGGGAAATTTGTAGCACTAAATGCCTGCAAGAAAAAGCAGGAAAGATCTAAAATCGACAGCCTAACATCACAATTAAAAGAACTGGAGAAGCAAGAGCAAACACATTCAAAAGCTAGCAGGAGACAAGAAATAACTAAGATTAGAGCAGAACTGAAGAAGATAGAGACACAAAAAACCCTTCAAAAAATCAATGAATCCAGCAGCTGGTTTTTTTGGAAAGATCAACAAAATTGATAGACCGTTAGCAAGACTAATAAAGAAGAAAAGAGAGAAGAATCAAATAGACACAATAAAAAATGATAAAGGGGATATCACCACCAATCCCACAGAAATACAAACTACCATCAGAGAATACTATAAACATCTCTATGCAAATAATCTAGAAAATCTAGAAGAAATGGATAAATTCCTGGACACATACACCCTCCCAAGACTAAACCAGGAAGAAGTTGAATCCCTGAATAGACCAATAATAGGCTCTGAAATTGAGGCAATAATTAATAGCCTACCAACCAAAAAAAGTCCAGGACCAGATGGATTCACAGCCAAATTCTAACAGAGGTACAAAGAGGAGCTGGTACCATTCCTTCTGAAATTATTCCAATCAATAGAAAAAGAGGGAATCCTCCCTAACTTATTTTATGAGGTTGGCATCATCCTGATACCAAAGCCTGGCAGAGACACAACAAAAAAAAGAGAATTTTAGACCAATATCCCTGATGAACATGGATGCAAAAATCCTCAGTAAAACACTGGCAAACCGAATCCAGCAGCACATCAAAAAGCTTATCCACCATGATCAAGTGGGCTTCATCCCTGGGATGCAAGGCTGGTTCAACATACACAAATCAATAAACATAATCCAGCATATAAACAGAACCAAAGACAAAAACCACATGATTATTTCAATAGATGCCAAAAAGACCTTCAACAAAATTCCACAGCCCTTCATGCCAAAAACTCTCAATAAACTAGGTATTGATGGGACGTATCTCAAAATAATAAGAGCTATTTATGACAAACCCACAGCCAATATCATACTGAATGGGCAAAAACTGGAAGCATTCCCTTTGAAAACTGGCACAAGACAGGGATGCCCTCTCTCACCACTCCTACTCAACATAGTGTTGGAAATTCTGGCCAGGGCAATCAGACAAGAGAAAGAAATAAAGGGTATTCAATTAGGAAAAGAGGAAGTCAAATTGTCCCTGTTTGCAGATGACATGATTGGATGTTTAGAAAACCCCATCATCTCAGCCCAAAATCTCCTTAAGCTGATAAGCAACTTCAGCAAAGTCTCAGGATACAAAATCCATGTGCAAAAATCACAAGTATTCCTATACACCAATAACAGACAAACAGAGAGCCAAATCATGAGTGAACTCCCATTCACAATTGCTTCAAAGAGAATAAAATACCTAGGAATCCAACTTACAAGGGATGTGAAGGACCTCTTCAAGGAGAACTACAAACCACTACTCAACGAAATAAAAGAGGACATAAACAAATGGAAGAACATTCCATGCTCATGAATAGGAAGAATCAATGTCGTGAAAATGGCCATACTGCCCAAGGTAATTTATAGATTTAATGCCATCCCCATCAAGCTACCAATGACTTTCTTCACAGAATTGGAAAAAACTACTTTAAAGTTCATATGGAACCAAAAAAGAGCCTGCATTGCCAAGACAATCCTAAGCCAAAAGAACAAAGCTGGAGGCATCACGCTACCTGACTTCAAACTATATTACAAGGCTACAGTAACAAAAACAGCATGGTACTGGAACCAAAACAGAGATATAGACCAATGGAACAGAACAGAGCCCTCAGAAATAATATCACACATCTACAACTATCTGATCTTTGACAAACCTGACAAAAACAAGAAATGGGGAAAGGATTCCCTATTTAATAAATGGTGCTGGGAAAACTGGCTAGCCATAGTAGAAAGCTGAAACTGGATCCCTTCCTTAGACCTTATACAAAAATTAATTCAAGATGGATTAAAGACTTAAATGTTCGACCTAAAATCATAAAAACCCTAGAAGAAAACCTAGGCAATACCATTCAGGACATAGACATGGGCAAGGACTTCATGACTGAAACACCAAAAGCAATAGCAACAAAAGCCAAAATTGACAAATGGGATTTAATTAAACTAAAGAGCTTCTGCACAGCAAAAGAAACTACCATCAGAGTGAACAGGCAACCTACAGAATGGGAGAAAATTTTTGTAATCTACCCATCTGACAAAGGACTAATATCCAGAATCTACAAAGAACTTAAACAAATTTACAAGAAAAAATCAAACAACCCCATCAAAAAGTGGGCAAAGGATATGAACAGACACTTCTCAAAAGAAGACATCTATGCAGCCAACAGACACATGAAAAAATGCTCATCATCACTGGTCATCAAAGAAATGCAAATCAAAACCAAAAGGAGATACTATCTCACACCAGTTAGAATGGCAATCATTAAAAAGTCAGGAAACCACAGGTGCTGGAGAGCATGTGGAGAAATAGGAACACTTTTACACTGTTGGTGGGAGTGTAAGCTAGTTCAACCATTGTGGAAGACAGTGTGGCAATTCCTCAAGGATCTAGAACTAGAAATACCATTTGACCCAGCCATCCCATTACTGGGTATATACCCAAAGGATTATAAATCATGCTACTATAAATGCACATGTATGTTTATTGCACTATTCACAATAGAAAATACTTGGAACCAACCCAAATGTCCATCAGGGATAGACTGGATTAAGAAAATGTGGCACATAAACCGGGTGCAGTGGCTCATACCTGTAATCCCAGCACTTTGGGAGGCTGAGGTGGGTGGATCACGAGGTCAGGAGATCAAGACCATCCTGCCTAATACAGTGAAAACCCGTCTGTACTAAAAATACAAAAAAATTAGCTGGTCATGGTGGCGGGTGCCTATAGTCCCAGCTACTTGGGAGGCTGAGGCAGGAGAATGGCATGAACCCAGGAGGCAGAGCTTGCAGTGAGCGAGATCGCACCACTGCACTCCAGCCTGGGCAACAGAGCGAGACTCCATCTCAAAAAGAAAAAAGAAAAAAAGAAAATGTGTCACAAATACACCATGGAATACTATGCAGCCATAAAAAAGGATGAGTTCATGTCCTTTGCAGGGATGTGGATGAAGCTGGAAACCATCATTCTGAGCAAACTATCACAAGGACAGAAAACCAAACACCGCATGTTCTCACCCATAGGTGGGAATTGAACAATCAGAACACTTGAACTCAGGGTGGGGAATATCACACACCAGGGCCTGTCATGGGGTGGGGACAGGGGGGAGGGATAGCATTAGGAGAAATACCTAATGCAAATGACGAGTTAATGGGTGCAGCACACCAACATGGCACATGTACACATAGGTAACAAACCTGCATGTTGTGCACATGTACCCTAGAACTTAAAGTATAATAAAAAAAAATTATCCCGGTGCAGCCCAAAAACAGAAGTAGTCTCAGCAACATAAGGCTGCACCCGTTCAGGCATTTGGTAAAATTGAGTTAAGAGACAATATCATCTCTTGCTTATATCTCTTTTGAGTAGTTCATGTAACATTGGATTTTCCTCATTGCATAACCCATTTATTCATTCATTTACCCTCAGCTACTATTTCTCCTTCTCTTCATTTATACCAAACATTTCTAGTTATGGAAGGGACATGAGGTTCTGCTGCTGTGCTGACCTAGACTGCACGGACCAATACTGTTCTAGCAATTGTCTTGCATCATCCATTCCAGTTCATAGAGGGTAGGGTTATGCAGTAGAGAACTGGTTGGCTAGCTGACCCCAGGCAATACAGCTGCATTCAGTGTTAACCCCAGCTTTGCCAGATGCACTGAAGGCACGACCTACTTCTCCAGACCCTTAGGAATCATTACATAATGGACACAAAATATATTTACAGTTTCTTGCTTAGGAATAATTCCTGTTTCTGGACTTTTATTTGCATCCCTAGTCCTGAGACCACTGCATCAGGTATGAGAAAAGCAAGTTGAGGTAAAGTACAGTCATCATTCCAGTGTCCTCCCACCTTGGGAAGGATTGTATATAGATCACACCAGTACCTTCCCCTGATCCACAAGGAAAAGAGAGGATACTTTCATATCAAGTGTAAGCACACTCATGAAGGTGTGTAAGCCCACCCTTCATGCTTGTTTCCCCACTCTTGCTTTATACAACCAATGTTTCAATGGAATATTTTAATTCTCTATGGAACTCTTCCTCTGAGAAGGATGTCTTTCTGACATTTTGAGCAAGCGCATTTTCTGGTGTAAAGAAATGTGACTCAGTGGTCCACATGGTTGCAGTACCTCCCATTCAAGCTCTTAGTAGCACTCCGAGCATTTGCATCTGAGATAAAGCAGGGACCTCTCTTAGAAGCCTGCCAGGGCCTCCCAACATGGAAATAAAGAAAAACCTTCAGTTCCTTCAAAAGAAATTCCAGGCACCTAGCCAGCCCTAAAAATTAAGTGAGTGACCTTATAAACAAGAAGGTAATGATAGCTTAAAACGATAGCCAAGGAAGTTAGAGTCACAAGATGTTGGATTCTCTATGGAAACTAAAGAGAACATCTTAATATATGTCCCTGAGTTGTTTTTCAGAAACTCAGATTCCCACCTAATAGATCCACTGACAGGAAGACCTCAGATAAGGGGAAACTGAGGACTGAACTCTGACCACTGTTCTTTGTTCTAAATTTCTTCCTGAGGGGCCTGGAGAGAGTAAAGCCCACAGGCCAGGCCTGAACATTCCTCTCTACTGCCCCCAACTGTGTAAGGAAGCTTTGCTTCCTTATGAATCACAAATCAGAGAATCTTTATCTCTATCTACGACTTGTAAGCTCCCTCATCAGGATATTCCTCCTTTTAAGGCCAAACCAGTGTGTAACTTCTATGCATTGATTTATGATGTTGCCTGTAACTCTGCTTTCCTGAAATTTACCCCTATCTTTAAGAAACCTTGCTTGTGAGCCATTGAGGAGGTTGGGTCTTAACTGTGAGCTGGCTGATTCTCCTTGCTTGGCACCCTACAAATAAATGCCCTCCTTTATCTCACTACAAAATCTCAGTATGGATGTTTGTTTTTACTGCCCCAGGTGAGTGGACTCCAGTTCTGTTTGGTAACACATCTACCAGCAGCTGAGCAATGCCCAGCTCCAGGGTGCGTATCTATTGCTGCCAAGACCCATTTGCTGCTTCCTGGGGCTACTGGTATCAGTGTAACTTGCCAGCTCTGTATTTTCAAGATCTTCCCATAAAAGAATCTGCCACATAGCCATATGCTATCTCTGTCTCTCTCTCTTTTTTTTGTTAAAGAAAACACTTATATGTATTTTGTGCCTGTGATGTGGGGAATGCAAGAGGAATATGCCTTGATTCCACCTCTCTCTGCATTGCTACAGCCCCAGTGTCTACTTATTTCATGGACCCAGGTGATCACCACAAGCAAATGTGGATTTTTTTTAGATGTGGTCTTGATATCTTTCTCTGGCTGGACTCAAGTGCTGCTCAGGCCAAACTCTAACTCCTGGACTCAAGATATCCTTCTGCCTCAGCTGTTGTCATAGCTGGAATTACAGGTGCACCTGGCAAACACTTGGCGATAAATGCTTGTTTATTTCAATCACCTTCCAAACCTGGAAGGGAGTTATTCTGATGGGCATTGATGGGCACTGAGGGGACGGTGCTAAACCATTCATGAGAAACTGCCCCCGTGATCCAATCACCTCCCTGCAGGTCCCACCTCTAATGCTGGGGATTCCATCCAACATGAGATTCGGGCAAGAACAACATCCACTCTATATCAGGCATCAACGTGTCTTACATTAATGAACCTCTCAAATTACCATCGTGATTTCCATAGGACTGTGTCTCATTTGGGCACTCTTTTCATCAGCAAGTTTTCCTTTGCTTTCCTGATTAATTATATGGCCAGGCCATTAGTCACTGCCTGTAAGTCAATAAAAACTAAAACATAGGAGCTTTATTATTGTTCAATTCTTCCACTACTGCTGAGAAACACCCTGCAATTCAGCCCACAAGAGTTGTTCTGTTTTTATCTTCTTCGATCAAAGTGGTGGACTTCCAAACAGGATGTTGTCCATTCATCTTCCAAATGCTGTACACAAACCAACCAGCTGTTTGAGATCAGTTGACGGATATTGCAGTTCAAATCCCAGCGCTGTCTGCTGCAGAGTTCCATCTTGCTCAGAGAAGGTCAATGTTTTGTTCAATTTACACCTTCAATGAATTGAATGAAGCCCACCCACATTATAGAGATCAATCTACTTTACTCAAAGTCTAGTTATTTTGCATTAATGTTATCCAAGAAACATTCTCACAAATCATCCAGAATAATGCTTGATCACCTATCTGGGCACTGTGGTTCAGCCAAGATGACAAATAAAATTAATTATGACATTCTTCAATTTAAGAATATTCTGAGGAAATTAGCCTTTGTCCTAATAAAACAAGGAACAAACAACTGTTTCTAAAAATTTTCAACCAACAGTCAAAAAGCCATTCCTATAGATTGTTGCTCAAGTTCATTCTATAACTGTGGGTGAAAAAAACATGTATTTGTTGAAAACAGAAGGAGAGAAAAATGAATAAGCAGAAAGTAAAAAAAAAGACATGAGAATAATAATAAAGATGACAGCCGTTATTTCACTGGAAACAATGCAAATGAGAAGACAGATGAGCAACATCTTTAAAGTCCTAAAAGGAAAATACTGTGAAACTAGATTCTATTCCCAGAAAATAATACCTTTCTAAAACATATATATGTATAATTTAAATTGACAAATCATAATACATTCATGAGATGTTGTGTGATGTACTGATATATGTATACCATGTGTAATGATTAAATCAAACTAATTAACCAATTAACATACCATGAATATAGCTATTGAAAAATAGATTTTAGTTATATAGGGAGTGAAAAAAGTTATAACTAGCAGATCTAAACTATAATAAATGTTTCAGTCCTTCAGGCAAAAAGAAAATTAAGGGACTAGTTGGCACAGCATTTAGTGATGAAAAGACAGCTTCATTTCCTTTTTCCACTGAGACAGAGAACACAGCCCAGGGTCCTGGGAATTGCTCAACCCAATCCACCACTGTGGACACCTGAGAACTCCTCCTGGGTAACCGAGGTTGGGTGCTATCACCTTAGCTGTCACCTACCTGCAAACACCACCTATGGGCATTCCACCCAGCCTATCATAGCTACTGCTAACATTAATGCACACTTTTTGGGACCAGTAGTTCTCCTTGCAGACATCTTTTACCTCCCAAATTAGCATTATTCCTAGGTATTGTATTCTTTTTGTGGCAATTGTGAGTGGGAGTTCATTCCTGCTTTGGCTCTTGGCTTGCCTGTTGTCAGTGTGTAGAAATGCTAGTAATTTTTGCACATTGATTTTGTATCTTGAGAATTTGCTGAAGTTGTTTATCAGCTTAAGAAGCTTTTGGACTGAGGCTATGGGTTTTTCTAGTTATAGAATCATGTCATCTGCAAACAGGAATCATTTGAATTCCTCTCGTCCTATTTGAACATCCTTCTTTTTTTTTTTTTTTTTTTTTTAATTTCACTTGCCTGATTGCCCTGGTCAGAATTTCCGATACTGTGTTGAACAGGAGCAGTGAGAGAGGGCATCCTTGTCTTGTGCTGATTTCAAGGAGAATGCTTCTAGTTTTGCCCATTCAGTATGAAGTTGGCTGTGGGTTTGTCATAGATGGCTTTTATTGTTTTGAGGTATATTCCTTGAACACCTAGTTTATTGAGAGTTTTTTTAAAAACATGAATAGAGTTTGAATTTTATCAAAAGCCTTTTCTTCATCAACTGAGACAATCATGTAGTTTTTGTCTTTAGTTCTGTTTACGTGATGAATCACATTTATTGATTTGCATATGTTGAACTAACCTTGCATCCTGGCGATGAAGCCTACTTGATTGTGGTGGATAAGGTTTTTGATGTGCTGCAGGATTCGGTTTGCCAGCATTTTGTTGGAGATTTTTGCATTAATGTTCATCAAGAATACTGGCCTGATGTTTTCTCTTGTTTGTTGTTGTTGTATCTCTGCCACATTTTGGTATCAGGATGATGCTGGCCTAATAGAATGAGTTAGGGAGGAGTCTCTCCTCCTCATTTTTTGGGAATAGTTTCAATAGGAATGGTACCATCTCTTCTTTGTACATCCAGTAGAATTCACCTGTCAATCATCTGGTCCTGCACTTTTTTTTTTTTTTTTGGTAGGCTCTTCATTACTGCCTCAAGTTCAGAACTCATTATTTTTTCAGAGATTGCATTTCTTCCTGGTTCAGTCTTGGGGGCGGTGTATGTGTCCAGGAATTTATCCATTTCTTCTAGATTTTCTAGTTTATGCGCATAGAAGTGTTCATAATATTTTCTGGTGGTTTCTTGTATTTCTGTGGGGTCAGTGGTAATGTTCCTCTTATTGTTTCTGATTGTGTTTATTGGAATTTTCTCTCTTTTCTTCTTTATTAGCTTAGCTAGTGGTCTATTTTATTAATTTCTTTTAAAAAACCTCCTGAATTTATTGATCCTTCAAATGGTTTTTTGTGTCTCTGTCTCCTTCAGGAGACAATACTTTTGTTAATTTTTTTTGTTATTTCTTGTCTTCTGCTAGCTTCGGGATATGTTTGCTCTTCATTCTTAAGTTCTTTTAGGTTTGATTTTAGGTTGTTGACTTGAGATCTTTCTAACTTTTTGATGTGGGCATTTACTGCTATAAATTTCCCTCTTAACACTGCCTTAGCTGTTTCCCAGAGGTTCTGGTACATTGTATCTTTTTTCTCATTAGTTTCAAAGAACTTCTTGATTTCTACCTGAATTTCATTATTTACTAAAAGTCATTCAAGAACAGGTTATTTAATTTCTAAGTAATTATATGGTTTTAGTGAATTTCTTATTCTTGATTTTGAATTTGATTGCACTGTAGTCTGAGAGACTATTTGTTATGATTTCAGTTCTTTTGCATTTGCTGAGGAGTGTTTTACTTCTGATTGCGTGATTGATTTTAGGGTAAGTGCCATGTAGCAATGAGAAAAATGTATATTCTGTTGTTCTGGGGTCTGGAGTTCTGTAAATATCTATCAGGTCCATTTGCTCCAGGGCTGAATTCAGGTCCTGAATATCTTTGTTAATTTTCTGTCTTGATGATCTGTCTAATATTGTCAGTGGGGTATTAAAGTCCACCACTTCTACTGTGTGAGGTTCTAAATCTCTTTGACGGTCTCTAAGAACCTGCCTTATAAATCTGGGTGTTCCTCTATTGGATGCATATATATTTAGGATAGTTAGATCTCTTCATTGAATTGAACCCTTTACCATTATGTAATGCCCACCTTTATCTTTTTTTATCTTTCTTGGTTTAAAGTCTGTGTTGTCAGAAACTAGGATTGCAACCCTGGCTTTCTTCCGCTTTCCATTTGCTTGGAAAATTTTCCTCCATCTCTTTATTTTGTGCCTATGTGTGTCATTGAATGTAAGATGAGTGTATTGTAGGCAGCATACTGATAGGTCTTGGTTCTTTATCCAGCTTGCCCTTCTGTGTCTTTTAAATGTGGCATTTAGCCCATTTACATTTAAGGTTAGTATTGATATGTATGGATTTGATCCTGTCATCATGGTGTTAGCTGGTTACTTTGCAGACTTGCTTATGTGGTTGCTTTATTGCGTCACTGGTCTATGTACTTCAGCGTGTTTTTGTAGTGGCTGGTAACTGTCTTTCCTTTCCATATTTAGTGCTTCTTTTAGGAGTTCTTGTAATGCAGGTCTGGTGGTAATGAATTCCCTTGGCATTTGTTTGTCTGAAAAGAATTTTATTTCTTTTTTGCTTATGAAGCTTAGTTTGGCTGGATATGAAATTGTGGGTTGGAAATTCTTTTCTTTAACAATGTTCAATACTGGCCCTCAATCTCTTCTGGTGTGTAGGGTTTCCACTTGGAGGTCCACTGTTAGTCTAATGGGCTTCCCTTTGTAGGTGACCTGGCCTTTCTCTCTGGCTGCCCTTAACGTTCTTTCTTTCATTTCAACCATGGAGAATCTGATGATTGTATCTTGGGGATGATCTTCTCATGGAGTAACTTACTAGTGTCCTCTGCATTTCTGAATTTGAATGTTGGTCTGTCTAGCTAGGTTGGGAAAGTTCTCATGGATGATATCTTGAAGTGTGTTCCAAATTGATTCCATTATTCCCATCTCTTTCAGGTATACCAATAATTCATGGATTCAGTTTCTTTACATAATCTGATGTTTCTCAGAGGTTTTGTTTGTTCCTTTTCATTCTGTTTTCTCTATTCTTGTCTTCCTGTCTTATTTTAGAAAGCTGGTCTTCAAGCACTGAGAGTCTTTCCTCCACTTGTTCTATTCTGCTGTTAATACTTGTGAGTGCACTATGAAATTCTTTTAGTGTGTTTTTCAGCTTTATCAGGTTGGTTTCATTCTTCTATAATACTGGCTATTTTGTCTGTCAGCTCCTGCAATGTTTTATCATTATTTTTAGCTTCCTTGGATTGGGTCACACTGTACTCCTTTAGCACAGTGAACTTCTTCCCTCTCCATATTCTGAATTCTACTTCTGCTCTTTCAGTCATCTCAGCTTTAGCCTGGTTCCAAACCCTTGCTGGCTTTTTGAGTTTTCAGCATTGTTGTGCTGATTCTTTCTCATCTTAGTGGGCTTATCTACCTTCATTCTTTGAGGTTGCTGATCTATGAATGGGTTTTGTTTTTCTCTTCTTTTGTTTTCTCTTTCAACAGTCTGGCCACTTTTCTGTAGGGCTACTGCAGTTTGCTGAGGGCCTGCTCCAGTCCCCAGTTGCCTCAGATTTTCCAGTAACTGGAGATATCACCAGTGAAAGCTACATAACAGCAAAGATGGTAGTCTGCCTTTTCCTTTGGGAGCTCTGTCTCAGGAAAGTACAGACCTGTTGCCAGCCCAAACACACCTGTAGGAGGTACTGGAGACCCTGGTTGGGAGGTCTTGCCCAGTCACGAGGAATAGGATCAGGATCTAGAGGTTTACCAAAGGGAGGAATACTCCCTCAGGAGACACAGAAATTATTCCATTGAGCTGGAAGCTAAGACACCCACCCGGGCCCTTCAGCTCCTCATGTTACTGAATCAACAGACAAAGGAAGGAGTTACTGCACTTTCTGGGGTGATTGGTCCTGGTCATCAGGGGGAAATTGGTCTGCTACTACACAATGGCAGTAAATAAGACTATGTTTGAAATACAGGAGATCTTTTAGAGCATCTCTTAGTAATACTCTGCTCTATAATTAAAGTCAATAAAAACTACAACAACCCAAGTCAGGCAGGACTACTAATGACCCATGCCCTTCAGGAATGAAGGTATGAGTCACCCAAGCAGGAAAAGAAACCTGATCAGCTGACGGACTTGCTGAAGGCAGTGGGACTATGGGATGGTTAGTGAAAGAAAGCTATTTACACTAGTTGTGGCCAGCACAGTGGCTCATGCCTATAACCCCAGCACTTTGGGAGGCTGAGGCAGGTGGATTCCTTAAGTTGAGGAATGTGAGACCAACCTGGGCAACATGCTGAAATTCCATCTCTACTGAAAATACATACAAAAAATTAGTCAGACTTGGTGGTGTGCTTGCAGTCCCAGCTACTTAGGAGGTTGAGGTAGAAGGATCACTTGTGCCCAGGAGGTGGAGTTTGCAGTGAGCCAAGGTAATGCCACTGCACTCCAGCCTGGGCAACAGAACAAGACCCTGTATCAAATAAATAAATAAGTAAATAAATAAATAAATAACCAGCTGTAACCATGTGATCAGTTGCAGAAATAAAGACAGTAAATGTTATAAGCATTTCTTCCTTATGTTTTTACAATGATATTTATGTCTGTGTGTATGTACCCATACATGTACTAAGCAAATACCTTTGTTTTCATCTTTTCCTTATCATCTTGTAATAAAACATAAAATGTGCTAATAATAGTTCCCTTTTATTAATGATGGTTCAACTTTTTTTAAACATGGTGTTTAGGTTACAGTATATCGAAGAGAAAAATGCTTATCATGCATTGAGTTTGAATTTTTTTCTGAGGAAATGGTTAGTGTTTTTAGATGGATGCAAGATAGCTGTATCATCTTTAGCAAAAGTATGACTTTATAATTGTTTTTATTTGGAGACTAAGTATGGTTTAAGAAAACGTTAATGGGTGCCAAGTTCACAAGCATGGACTAGGGTGGTGGGTATTATGTGTCAATTTTACTAAACCATAGTGTCTAGTTATTTAATCAAACACTAATTTATATGTTGCTATGATGGTGTTTTGCACTTGTGGTTAAAATCTTATGTCAGTTGATTTTATGAAAAAGAAATTACCCTCAAAAATGTGGGCGGGACTTTTTGAATCAGTTGAAGGCCTTTGGGCAAAGTGTGAGGCTTCTCAAAGAAGAAAAAATTCTGCCTCAAGATGACAGTAGCAACTACAGTTTAGATTTCCAATCTGCCAGCCTGGTTTACAAATTTTAGACTGAAGACTGCAACATTGTGACTTTCCAGCCTGCTAGCCTGCAGAGGAGTAATTTGTGACATCAATAATGTAAAATGAGGGGTGGAAAAAGATGTAAAGAAGCAGAGTTTCATACTGGTTTCAATTCAAAATTGTTATAGTTGTATTGTTATGTGCAATACCATAGTAATCACAAAGAAAATATACATAAAATATACACAAAAGAAAGTGAGAAGGCAATTAAAACATATCACTAGAAAAAAATCGACTAAACACAAAGGAAGGTTGGAATGAGGAAGATAAGGGACGAAACAGCTATAAGACATGCATAAAACCATCACAATTACAGAGGTAAGTCCTTCTTCATCAGTAATTACTTTAAATGTAATGGATTAAACTCCCCAATCAGAATTGAGATTATCACAATGGATATAATAAAAAGATTCTAACCATATGCTGGCTACAAGATACTCACTTTGGATCTAAGGACACATACAAGTTGAAAATGAAAGGATGGAAAAGGATATTCCTGAAAATAGTAACTAAGAATTTTTAATGATCTCTCATAGGGTTCTATGTGTTGGCTGGGCTCAGATGATGGCCTTGGAGTTTAACATGGTTCAGGGATTGAAGTGGAAGGAACCAGATGCAGGCAGGATGGTTAACAGCAGTGCCCAGAACTGACACAACCACGTTTCTGCCCTATTTTATTGGCTAACGCAGATATCAGATCTGCTCATGTTTAAGGGGATGGAAAGAACTTACCTCTTGATGAGGGAGTGGTGGATCAAACTAAAGAAAACAAAGTGTGATGGAAGATACTTCTGCAGCCGTCTTTGGAAAATACATACAATCCAAAACATCCTATCGGCCAGAAAGGAAGAACACCATCACGCCTTACCCCTCCAGTCTAAGCCCTGTGATTCTGTAGTATCCTGGGGAAGGACCATGTCTTAGGAAGCAGATGCGGAGTCAAAGCTCTAAATAAAACCCCATCTACAGCCACAATTTCACTTTATTTTGATGAAATTTTGTGTCATTTTCGATAAAATGGGGGCTCACAAATCTCTCTTCAGGGATCTCTCCAGTGGCGGGGATGATATGCTTCCTTCTCCACAGTTCTACTTTACAGATAAGTGGATCTAGGTCTCAGTTTCAGTTATTTAAAACACCAGAGACTTGGATGCATGCATGTCACAAAAAGGTGAAAGAATGCTCTGTCACTTTCCCTTCTCTCGCTCACTGCGCCCTGAACAAGAACCTGCTCTACCTTGACCTTTTGAATGGGGAGGAGGGTCGCACTCCTGACTAAGCTTCATGCTTCCAGAGATAAACCTGCTACCCCAAAAGCATAGTTTATTATAAAGACCAAACCCTACACCAAGAGCTCTCCCTTCACCTACCAGGGCAGAAACTGAATCCCATGGAAAGGCCCAGAGAAATTGTGGCTCAAAATGTCCAGTGTCATGTCCCTTCTGCCAAAATGAAGCCAACATGTTCATCACAATATGGGGTATTGATAAGGATATCAAAATGATTACCACAAAAATTTCACAAATATATTCTTTTTATTACATCAACTTTTTTGTCCTACAAATATAAAGAAAATAAGCCTGCATAGCAGGAGAAGTTTTTCCTCTGGGAGAGAATCCTCTTCCCAATGAAAAAGCTGGAGCCAGAATCACTAGAATGGAGCAAACTTTCAGGAATGACACAGCACTGCGTCTTGGGGCAGCCAGAGTTAGGGAGGGCTCACCTTCTGCGTGACACCAACCTTTGGCTGTCTTTTTTTTTTGTTCTCACTGCAAGAACAAAATTTCAGAGTATTAAGAGACAGAGTTAAGCCAAAGAGATTTACTCTGTTTTACTCTTTAGAAAACGCAATCTCGGCCAGGAGCGGTAGCTGGCGCCTGTAATCCCAGCATTTTGGGAGGCCGAGGTGAATAGATCACCTAAGGTCAGGAGTATGAGACCAGCCTGGCCAACATGGTGAAACCCCATCTCTACTAAAAATACAAAAATTAGCTGGGCGTGGTGGCAGGCATCTGTAATCCCGGCTACTCGGGAAGCTGAGACAGGAGAAATGCTTGAACCTGGGAAGCGGAGGTTGCAGTGAGCCGAGATCGTGCCACTGCACTCCAGCCTGGGTGACAGAACAAGGCTCCATCTCAATAAAAGAAAAGAAAACAAAAGAAAGAGAAGAAAGAAAAAGAAAGAAAGAAAGAAAAAAGGAAGGAAGGAAGGAAGGAAGGAAGGAAGGAAGGAAGGAAGGAAGGAAGGAAGGAAGGAAGGAAGGAAAAGGAGTCTCCAGGTTAATCCAGACTGTTATGGGCTAAATTGCATCTCTCCAAAAATTGGCATGTTGGTGTCCTAACCCCCAGTACCTGAGAAAGTGACTGCATTTGGAGAGGTCTTTAAGGAGGTCATTAAGGTAAAATGAGGTCATATGAGTGGGTCTTAATTCAATGTGACTAGTGTCCTTATAAAAAGAGAAGATTAGACATAGACAGATGCAGAGGAATGACCATGTAAAGACACAGGGAAAACACATCTACAAGCCAAGGAAAGAAGCCTCAGAAGAAATGTGCACTGCCAACACCAAGATCTTGGACTTCCAGCCTCTGGAACTGTGGCACAATAATTTTTCTGTTCTTTACGTCACCCAGTGTGTGGTACTTTGTTATGGCAGCCCTAGCAAATTAAAACAAACATATTACCCTGCCTAGTATCTGGACATGAAATTTTTTCAAGATTATGAATTATCAGGGATTTCTAAGAAATGAGTGAATCAATTGAAAATTGACAAGTGTAGATGATAAAGGGTCATTTACAAACCACTTTGGGTCCCATGGTCACCACTCAAAAATGGAGATATCCCCATTTCTTTTCAGTTTTACTCAGAACAAAGCTTGTGGTTCCAATCTGATATATAATCACCATCTGTATTTAAGTTTCTTGAGATGTTGAAGGAATGAGTTTTCCTCTAATTTTCTAGAAGTTATGAGAAATAATTATTTTGTAATCATTACTGAAGTAAAAGAGGATTTTTACCCAGGGCTTTGCAGGTATTATGTGCTTTCTTCCTACTTTTAAGGATGTTTCTTAAAATCCCGAGCTGATGGTCAGGCACGGTGGCTCACACCTGTAATCCTAGCACTTTGGGAGGCTGAGGCGGGTGGATCACCTGAGATCAGGAGTTGAAGACCAGTCTGGCCAAAATGGTGAAACCCTAACTCTACTAAAAATACAAAAAAATTAGCCGGGCATAGTGGCACAAGCCTATAGTTCCAGCTACTTGGGAGGCTGAGGTAGGTGAATTGCTTGAACACGGGGGGAGAGGTTGCAGTAAGCAGAGATCATGCAATTGCATTCCAGCCTGGGCAACAAGAGTGAAACTCCATCTCAAAAAAAAAAAATCCTAAACTAATGTTTCTCTCTGCATTTACCCCTTAGTACTGGGGCAACACTCACTGCATCTCAGTAAGGATGAAATGTGTTTTCATTTATTCTCACTAGAATGGATGTGTTTATCCATGACTCACAGATGAATTAACAAGCACCAGGACTTGGAGAGATTCTCCTGAGGTCACAGCCGTTGAGTGGTGGAGCAGTGACAAGCACCTGGCACCCTTGGTCTAGTCCAGTATTCTGGGTGCCACAAGAATTGCAGAATTGCAATCTTGATTTTTACACATTCGGTTATTTTCTCTTTTTTTATTTCCTTTTTTGTTGTTGTTGTTGTTGTTGTTGTCGAGACAGGGTCTCACTCTATCACAGGCTGGAGTGCAGTGGCACAATCTCAGCTGGCTGCAACCTCCACCTTCCGAGTTCAAGTGATCCTCATGCCTCAGCCTCCTGAGTAGCTGGGATTACAGGTGCATGCCACCACATCTGGCTAATTTTTGCATTTTTGGTAGAGATGGAGTTTCATCATGTTTGCCAGGCTGGTCTCGAACTCCTGACCTCAGGTGCTCCTCCCACCTCAGCCTCCCGAAGTGCTGGGATTACAGGTGTGAGCCACCACGCCTGGCCATTTGGTTATTTTCTTAACCAGAGAAGGAAAATGCATGGTGAAAATAAAGTGCAAGAGCCCTAGGCCCTTGCCTTAGATTTACTGGGATGGGGGATGGAGAGAGAGAGGCTGCCACTGTTTCTCTGAATTCCAGCTCCCAGTGTTGGTCACTCAACTGAGAGCAGGAAAATTCACCTTGTGCACTTGGGGCATCAGGACAAAGATGACAGGGAGTCCCACATCTACCACGAAAGAGAAAAGGGTCCCTCCTGCCTTATGAATCATGTCCCAGTTTTCTAATTGCATGTGCTTTCCTGCACACATAATGATTTCTCCTTCCTTCAAGCACCAGTTGTCACAGGGCAAATACAGCAACAGCAGAAAGGAATTGCTACTGAGCCTGATGCTCTGATGAAAGCTCTGAGTGGAGACTTTATTTCACATGTAGGTGCCTCTGAGTCAATGCAGAGTTTTGCCTGACTCCACTCTAGCTCCAATTCGATCAAGGTCTATATGCTCTGGGACCTCTCCAGTTCCTCATCAGACATGACAAAGAATGCCACATGTCCAGCTCCTGGGGTGCCTGATGGCAGTGAGAGGCAGCTCCTAATTGGGAGAGAGCTTTGGGGTTACCAAGGCCTCATAGACTTCATTACTGTTGGGCCACGTGGCTTCAGTCCCGTGACCACAATGGGTTCATGAGCCTGGATTCACCTCTGACATTCGTGTCTTTTTTTCTTGGGCTTCCACAAGTGGCCTCTGGTTGAGATGGGGGGAAAGGAAACAGGGATTCAAAATCTCTGACTGCCCAGTGGCCTCCCCTCACTTCCACTCAGAGACAACATGGCCATTTCGCTAAATTCCTGAAGACGCGGCCAATATAAGTAACAGAACACAGAGAGTTGCCTTGAACAGAGTTCCATGGAAGGGTGGCTGGTGCCCTCTAGACTCTTTGTCTACACTTGCTGGGCTTTCTTTAGCATGAAATGTCCCAGAGACAGCCACATTCTAAGCTTGGATCCTCAAAGCAAAGGGTGTGAGGGCCTTATCCCTGGCCAAATGAGCACTGAATTTGAGAGAGACCAGGAAACCTTCTAATTATTGGGACACTTTACTCCTGAATCCTGAATCCTGGAAGTTGGTTTCTGGCCAGGGAGGCAGGTGTCTTTATATCTTGTCTGTCTCTGTGAGGCCTCTTGTCCCTCTGCCCTTCCCATCTTTCTAGCCCCGTTAATCCCAGAACAGATAGAAACATTCTGCCTTCTTTGATGCCTCTTGCTATAAACTTCAATGGCTTTTGATTGAATTAATAAGTGAAATCAACTTTAATAAAACATGAGGTTTAAAGAATGGCATTTGACATGGGTTTAGAATGAATAAATGGATCAAGTAATGAATTTTGAGAAAATGCATGTAAAATTTATCTTTAATTCCCAATGCCATTTTATTAACTTGACTGTGGAATTAATAAATGATTCTAAATCAATACCAAAACGTGCAATCACAAATGTGTGAATGCACAGAAGTGTGAATGAAGGGCAGTGCACACAAGAAAAAAAGATGTGCACATGAAGAACTTCTTCATTCCAGGTTTTTACTGATCCCTCTGGTCAAGATGGGATAAGAGTCCAAAAATATGCTTTCCTCACATGGTCAAATGATTCAGCATAAAATACAACTGATTGAACACAATTATCTATGCTTTAAATATATTAGAAAAAATCCATAAGGAAAAATGATCCTACCATCACTAAGATTTTAATTTATAATAAAATAAAGCCTAGAAATGTATCTTTTGTTCCCAATTCCAATGATTATAGGATTTCAGTGTTTGGCTTTGATAAGACCATTTAAAACAACTCAGGGAAGTTTTCTTAACAAACTCTATAGCAGGACCACAGCTAAACCTATGAGCATTAGTAGAAGTAAACAATGACACTGCCTTTAAAATTTCACTTTGAAAAACATGTTTGAAAGTGGTTGACTGGCTCCTAATTTAACTATCATTCGAGGTCATATGTTAGATTGGCAAAGTTGTTGTAATTTGTATGTATTTTATTTTTGTAATGCAAGTGCTTCACTCTACTATCAGATAAAATAAAATGTTAAGCTGGACATGGTGGTGCACACCTGCAGTCCCAGCTACTCAGGAGGCTGAGTGGGAGGATCCCTTAAGCCCAGGAGTTCAAGGCTGCAGGAAGCTCTGATGGTGCCACTGCATACCAGCCTGGGCAACAGAGTGAGGCCCTGAGTCTAAAAAATAAATTAATTAATTAAATGTTAACTTCAAATCTTATTGTTAGCAGTTCAACCTTGAACAGATTATTGGAGTTTTTTTTTTTTGTTTTTTTTTTTTTAAGACAAAGTCTCACTCTGCCGCCAGGCTGGAGTGCAATGGCATGATCTCGGCTCACTGCAACCTCGCCTCCTGGGTTCAAGCGATTCTCCTGCCTCAGTCTCCTGAGTAGCTGGGACTACAGGCACCTGTCACCATGCCTGGCTAATTTTTGTATTTTTAGTAGAGACGGGGTTTCACCATGCTGGCCAGGCTGGTCTCGAACTCCCGACCCCAGGTGATATGGGCCTCCCAAAGTGCTGGGATTACAAGCATGAGCCACCATGTCTGGCCTTGAGATCTTATCTGAGAGAAGCTGTTGTGAAAACTTAGAGAATATGAACAAGAAGTAAATGTCAATCTTGTTTCTAAATTACAAACTAAAAGGAAATTCTATAAACCTTTAATACTAAGCTAAATCATGGTAGAATGAATGACCAAAAACTATCCTACAAAACATACCAGCTGCTAGGTGTATCTGAATACTAATAAAAGATGAATGGAAAAAATGCTCTAGGAATGAGGTCAAGAGTTCGAGACCAGCCTGGCCAACATGGTGAAACCCCGTCTCTACTAAAAATTCAAAAATTAGCCAGGCATGGTGGTGGGCACCTGTAATCCCAGCTACTCGGGAGGCTGAGGCAAGAGAACCACTTAAACCTGGGAGGCAGAGGTTGCAGTGAGCCAAGATCGCACCACTGCACTCCAGACGCGGCAACAGAGTGAGAACCTGTCTCAAAAACAAAAAACAAGGAAGGAAGGAAGGAGGAAAGAAAGAAAGAAAGAAAGAAAGAAAGAAAGAAAGAAAGAAAGAAAGAAATTATATTTAGAATAAAATTCTTACCTTATAGCAAAATTTCTTATTGAAAAACCACTTTATTTCACATACAAATGAGAATTCAGCATTTTTCTATACCCAGAGATAACAGAGATAAACAGGGGTTTTTTGTGGGGTTCAGATATTTTATTAGCTGCTGAGTGTAAGAAAATCTACTACTGAAGAAGCTGAAATCCCATTTTTCTTTGAAATGGGATCTTTCCAAAGTTAGTAACAATGAAGTTGTCATTCACATAATGGATGACTGAACAAAAAGATAGTGATAGTAGATGCTGCATATTGTTTCTGTAATGTTGGGAACGGGCCCCCCAAAATATGGCCATAAACTGGCCCCAAAACTGGCCATAAACAAAATCTCTGCAGCACTGTGACATGTTCGTGATGGCCATGATGCCCACACTGGAAGGTTGTGGGTTTACCGGAATGGGGGCAAGGAACACCTGGCCCACCCAGAGTGGAAAACCACTTAAAGGTGTTCTTAAACCACAAACAGTAGCGTGAGCAATCTGTGCCTTAAGGACATGCTCCTGCTGCAGATAACTAGCCAGAGCCCATCCCTTCATTTCAGCCCATCCCTTTGTTTCCTGTAAGGAATACTTTTAGTTAATCTATAATCTATAGAAACAATGCTTATCACTGGCTTGCTGTCAATAAATACATGGGTAAATCTCTGTTCAAGGCTCTTGGCTCTGAAGGCTGTGAAACCCCTGATTTCCCACTCCACACCTCTATATTTCTGTGTGTGTATCTTTAATTCCTCTAGCTCTGCTGGGTTAGGGTCTCCCCCACCAAGCTGGTCTCAGTAAGCAGCACCCATACGTGGGGGCTCGAATCCAGGTTGAAGGGTCGCCAGAGCAACAGTTGGAGAATGGGGAACTAAGCTGGAGGACACCCAAGTACTCTTAAGCAATCCTCGTAGTGAGTAAGATGGGGAGCTTGGAAGCATCGGGTAACAATGGGACAAGTGTGGGCTCTGGTTCGTTCCACCTTGGAACTTTTTCACACTGATGATGAGGAGGAAGGAGAGTATGACGAAGTAACAGAAGAGGTTACAGAGCAGGTTTATTTGCCAGCTAAAGCTAAAGCGGCACAGGAGGAAGAGGTTCATCCCTACCCTTCTGCACCCCCTCATTATTATTTTGAAGAAAAAGAGTGGCCAGACCCTCCAGATCTTTCTTTTCTGGAGGACACTGGGCGAAAAGTAGTTGCCCCAGTGACTGAGCAGCACCTCGAGCGACTGCTGTCAGTTCTATTCAGGCAGGAGTTCAGCAGGCTAGACGAGAGGGTGATATAGAGGCTTGGCAGTTCCCTGTTAGAATACACCACCTGATCAACAGGGAAATATTATAGCTACATTTGAGCCTTTTCCTTTTAAATTACTCAAATAATTTAAACAAGCTATTAATCAGTATGGACCAGGTTCTCCTTTTGTAATGGGACTGTTAAAGAATGTTGCTGTTTCCAGTCGGATGATTCCTACTGACGGGGACACTCTTATTTGAGCTTGTCTAAGTCCTGCTCAATTCTTACAATTTAAAACTTGGTGGGCAGATGAAGCTTCCATTCAGGCTGCTTGCAATGCCCAGGCCCAAACTCAAATTAATATAACATGGACCAACTTTTGGGGGTCGGCTGCTGGGCTGGTTTAGACGCACAAGTGGTCATACAGGATGATGCCATAGAGCAGCTTAGAGGAGTGTGCATTAGAGCTTGGGAAAAAATCACTTCAGGTGGAGAACAATACCCTTCCTTTAGTGCTGTAAAACAGGGACCAAAAGAACTGTATGCAGATTTTATAGCTTGGAATCTCTTAAGACAGGAGTCTCTTAAAAAGGTGATTTCAGATTCAGCTGCTCAGGATATAGTGTTGCAGTTATTAGCTTTTGGCAATGTTAATCTCGATTGCCAGGCTGCTTTGCGACCTATTAGAGGGAAAGCACATTTAGTTGATTATATCAAGGCCTGTGACGGTATCGGAGGTAATCTGCATAAAGCTACTTTGTTGGCACAGGCAATGGCAGGACTGAGAGTGGATAAAGGAAATACTCCATTTCCTGGAGCTTGTTTTAACTGTTTGAAGCATGATCACACTAAAAAACAATGTAGAAAAAATCAGCAAGTCAGGCCACCATATAGGGGAAAAAAAGAAAACTACTGAGCCTGAAATATGTCCAAAATGCAAAAAAGGAAAACATTGGGCTAATCAGTGTCACTCTAAGTTTGATAAAGATGGGAACCTGATTTCAGGAAACACCATGAGGGGCCCATCCCGGGGCCCCATTCCAAACCGGGGCATTTCTGGCTCAGGCCATTCCCTCATCCTTGTACAATATCTGTCCCCCGCCACAGCCAGTAGCACCAGAGTAGATTTATGTTGCACAAAAGCTGTGAGCCTTCTGCCTGGGGAAACCCTGCAAAAGGTCCCAACAGGGGTCTGTGGACCCTTGCCAGCGGGAACGATAGGATTATTTCTAGGAAGGTCTAGTTTAAGTTTAAAAGTAGTACAAATACATACAGGGGTCATTGATTCAGATTACAATGGGGAAATTCAAATTGTTATATCTACTTCTGTTCCCTGGAAAGCAGAGCCAGGAGAGTGTATAGCACAGCTCCTGATTGTGCCGTATGTGGGAATGGGAAAAGTGAAATTAAACAAACAGGAGGATTTGGAAGCACAAATAAACAAGGCAAAGCAGCTTATTGGGTGAATCAAATTACTGATAAACGTCCTACCTGTGAAATAACTATTCAGGGAAAGAAATGTAAAGATTTGGTAGATACAGGAGCGGACATTTCAATCATTTCTCTACAGCACTGGCCGTCTGCGTGGCCAGTTCAACACACTCAACTTAAAACAGTTGGAGTTGGTAAAGCCCCTGAAGTATATCAAAGCCATTATATTTTGCATTGTGAAGGGCCCGATGGACAACCTGGGACTATTCAACCAATTATAACTTTCGTACCTATAAATTTATGGGGGAGAGATTTATTACAACAATGGGGAGCACAAGTTCTACTTCCAGAGCAATTATATAGCCCTCAAAGTCAACATATGATGCATGAAATGGGGCATGTCCCTGGTATGGGACTAGGAAAAAATTTGCAAGGTTTGAAAAAAAATGCTTCAAGTGGAGAGACAAAGTTCCCGCCAAGGTTTAGGGTATCATTTTTGATGGCAGTCATTGTTAAGCCTCCAGAACCTATACCTTTAAAATGGTTAACAGATAAGCCAATTTGGATAGAACAGTGGCTGCTAAGTAAAGAGAAACTGGAGACTTTAGAGAACTTCGTTAATGTACAATTAGAAAATGAGAACATAGCTACAACACTTTCCCCTTGGAATTCTCCAGCTTTTGTAATTAAGAAAAAATCAGGTAAATGGAGAATGTTAACTGATTTAAGAGCCATTAATTCAGTTATACAAGCTATAGGAGCATTACAGCCAGGAAGGACTCTTTCTTTACTATACCCTTAGCTAAGCAAGACAGTGAACGGTTTGCATTTACAATTCCTGTGGTAAACAATCTGCAGCCTGCTAAGCATTTTCATTATTTCACAGATGGGTCTAGCAATGGTAAAGCTTCTTATTCTGGATCAAAAGGTAAAGCTTTCCAGGCAACCTATACTTCAGCTCAGAAAGCAGAGCTTGTAGCTGTAATTGAGGTGCTGACTGCTTTTGATATGCCTGTTAATGTGATTTCTGATTCTTTATACATGGTTCATTCCATGCAATTAATTGAAAATGCTCAGTTATGATTTATACAGATGAACAACTGATGACAAAAAAGGGGGAGAAACAGGGATTACGAGACAGCCCATACACAACTGAATCTAGCATTATTAACTTTAAATTTTTTGAGGCTGCCCAAAGGCCAGATGTTATCAGCAGCTGAACAGCATCTACAGAAACGAGCTGCAAAGACAGGAGCAGAACAACTGGTTTGGTGAAGAGATCCAATAACAAAAAGTTGGGACATAGGTAAAATAATAACTTGGGTAGAGGTTATGCTTGTGTTTCTCCAGGCCAAAACCAGCAGCCAATTTGGATACTATCAAGACACCTAAAACCTTATCATGAGCCAGATGCCAAGGAAGAGATTCCAGGAGGATCCCGAGGACCCCCTGGTTGCAGCCATGTCGAGACTGATGCTGAGGAGGACCCTAACTGTCACGAGCAACACCCGTTGAACACAGCCACCCACCTGGGGACAGATCAAGAAGCTGTCACAGATGGTGGAAGAAAACCTGAGGAAAGCGGGACAACCGGTCACAATGACTGTTTACTGGAATGAAGGCTGTGAGACTCCTCATTTCCCACCCCACACGCCATATTTCTGTGTGTGTGTCTTTAATTCCTCTAGCGCCACTGGGTTAGGGTCTCCCCGACTGAGCTGGTCTTGGCACTGTAATTCTGCCTTGTCCACATGGCACTATTTACACTTTAATTAATTAAAATTAAATGGATTTTAAAAGCCAGTTTCTTATTTGCACCAGCCATATATTTCAAGTACTCAGAATTCACAGAATATGAATGTCTGTATCTGTGCCATAATGAATAGCTCAGATATAGACACTCCATCACTGCAGAAGGAGGTTGGACAGTGGTATTCCAATGTTTCATGGACAGGATCCTGAGTATAATTACGGAATAATGACAATTCCAAGTTCCCATTTCAATTCATGGTCTCTTCTCTGATTCGTGGTGTAGGGGGCAGCCCATCTCTTTTGTGAATAAAGGTTAATTTTTCCAATTACACGTAAGTAGCTAATATTATTTTTTTTTAGCAGTCTTACAGTGTAAGTTACAACCAAAAGTGAAGTGCCTGAATTATATTTACATTTTAACAAATGGTTTTAAAGGGAAAATCCATGTGAAAAAGAAACAAAAGTCAGGAAAAAAAACACACGGAAGTTTCCATACCAATCCTGATAGCAATAACAATCCCTTTGCTGTCGTGAGAGTTCACCCTCATCCTGATTTCATAGTAATCCTGTTCACGCCTTTCTTTAAAGCTTTACTCCCATGCATACATCTCTAAAACAATATAGGTTATCTCAAACTTCATATAGATTTTGAATCTTTTGATACAAATGGAATCGTGCTATGTGTATTCTTATGAGACCTTATTTTAGCTCAAATGTATGTTTGCTAAGTTGTTATAGGTGTCTCTAGAGCGTTCATGTTTATTATTCATAGAATTCCACACATTAAATTAATCCTTGTTTGTGGTCATTTTATTTGTTTTCAGGTTTTAAAAATTACGAACAATGCTGTTGTAAGCCTTCTTGCACATGTATGTTGGCACAATGAGCATATATCTTTCAAAATTATATGCCTAAGAGTGGAATTACTGGTGTATGTATATGATATCCTACCCAAAGAGATGATGCCACACTGCTAGACAAAGTGTGTGACAGCTCTTGATGGTCCATATTCGCACCAACATTTGAAATAGTCAGTGATTTTAATTTAGAAATTCTAGTGGATTTGTCATGACATATCATTATATTTCTTTCCTTAAACTTTATTAAGATATAATTCACATATCATTCACCCATTTAAAGTATACAATTCAATGGTTTTTCACATATTTGGATTTTTAAATCACCATATCTAATTTTAGAACATTTTCATCATCCCAAACTGTTCTCCACAGTTTGAGAGCTGCCTTCTGCAGACCAGCAAGACACAGATTGTTCTCAGCTCCCCTTGTCTCTGGACCCTGACTTCTCTTCCCCCAGCTGCACAGCTGATAAACTGTGTCTCCTCCCAAGCATAGCCCAGGAAGGATACAGGGAGAGGGGCCCATTCCCCTGATGTCCCAGAACCCCTTCCACATAATCCCAATATCCAGGCCCGGTGTCCCCTTCCCTGGATCAACCTTCTTTTTCTGGGAATGAAAGAGTTGCAGTGTTTCCCTCCCAGATCTCCCCTGTGACTCACTCACTCTAAATAGATATCTTGCTCTATGAGTTATTATTCTCATATCCTTTCTTTGAAGCTGTGATAAGATATTACAAACTATTAAGAGAACATGGAGGCTAGGCGTGGTGGCTCACGCCTGTAATCCCAGCACTTTGGGAAGCCAAGACAGGCAGATCACCTGAGGTCAGGAATTCGAGACCAGCCTGGCTAACATGGTGAAAACCCCATCTCTAAAAATACACAAATTAGCTGGGTGTGGTGGCAGCTGCCTGTAATCCCAGCTACTCGGGATGCTGAGGCAAGAGAATTGCTTGAACCAGGAGGTGGAGGTTGCAGTGAGCCGAAATCACGCCATTGCACTCCAGCCTGGCAACAAGAGATAAACTCTGTCTCAAAAAAAAAAAAAAAAAGAAAAGAAAGAGAGAGAGAGAACATGCAGGTTAGGTTCTCTTTTTGGATTCTGAGGACCTGCTGTGCTGGGGCAGAGGCAGGTGGGGAGAGAAGGACAGGTGGAGGGGCAGGTGCTGAGTGGTGTGCACCCTTGCTCCGTGCTCAATAAAGTTCCTGCTGTGGTCATTTCTTGTGTATTTGTCTGGATCCCTCCGTGTGCTGGGATTTGTGCCTGGTCTTTAGGGGCGGGTGCTGCTCCAGGTCGGAGGCCTCACACATCTCCAGGCTGAGTCTTTCTCCAAGTCCATGGAGGTCATGGGCTGAGAATGACAGTTCTCCATCCTGCCCTCAGCTCCACTTTGTGTGTGTGTATTTTTACATGTTGATCTCACCCCTCTCGTCAGAGATTTACAGGAATAGTACTCTGTAGGAGAGCCATTATCATCCTGCTCCGGCCAGGCTCTGTCTCTCACTTTTGGGTCGTGTGTTCTGTTTCTTGTCCTCTAAAGACTCAGGGCAGCCTCTGCACTTGGGGCTTCTCAGATGCCCCAGATTGATTGTTTTCACCTTTGCCTTCCTTCCTGCTCTGTTTCCAGAATACTCTTATTTTTCCCTTTTATTGTAGTAAGTCAATTTTTTGAATTAACATCATGAATAGATGTGTTAGTGCAATGTCTTAAATACATTCTTGTCACTTCTCCGTTTGTGGGAGCACCCTGTGGTCAGTCAGGGACCTGGCAGGAAAGAGATGGCACCTTTTTTTTTTTTCCGAGACTGAGTTTCACTCTTGTTGCCCAGGCTGGAGTGCAATGGTGTGATCTCGGCTCACCACAACCTCTGCCTCCTGGGTTCAAGCAATTCTCCTGCCTCAGCCTCCCGAGTAGCTGGGATTACAGGCATGCGCCACCACGCCCAGCTAATTTTTTATTTTTAGTAGAGACAGGGTTTCTCCATGTTGGTCAGGCTGGTCTTGAACTCCCAACCTCAGGTGATCCTCTGGCCTCAGCCTCTCAAGGTGCTGAGATTACACGTTTGAGCCACCGCGCTGGCCTGAGATGGCACCTTCTACACAGGTGCCGGCAGGGCTAAGAAAGCCACAAAGGGCGCTGAAGCTCCCTGGGATTATTCCTGGCAGGAAACTGTTTTCATCTTGAAGCTTGAAAGAGCAACGAAGGGAGCAGTTTCCAGAACCCAAGGAAATCTGTAGCTTTCACTAGGGGCAGACCCACATGCCTGTGGCTGTAGGTAGAGGACGGCAATGATTACGGAACCACAGAGCTGTCCAGAGGGAGTGAGGGAAATGAAAACCCTGAGTTACTTCTCCCCGCATGCTCCCATCTCCTGCAGGTGCCTGTTATCATCCACACCCAAGCAGAAGCCAGGTGGTGCAGGAGCATGGGCCGTGCCTGTTGTGGTTGCCTCCCAGTGCAGGGGACAAGGTGGAGGAGGGTGAACGACGGCCCTGTGGGGAGAGAGAAGCAGAGAATAATGCACTCACCTGCTTACAGTGTCCACATTCCTCAGGGAATTCACTTAAATATCCTAGAGTTTGCCCTAATCCAAAGGCATGGCTTCAAAAAAAAAAATACATGTAATTTATTCATTCTGAGGCAGAAATTTAAAAATAATAATAATAATAATAAGTATTGCATTTACTTACTTTAAGAAAAGTTAAAGCTAAGGCTTAGAATGTGGCAAGGCAAAAGTTAAAAAGAAAAAGAAAAGAACAAGTTTTTTTCTGCTTAGCAAGCTTACCTCAAGGACAGTTTTATACATATATTTTTTTTTAGATGGTGTCTCGCTTTGTCACCCAGGCTGGAGTGCCATGACACAATCTCGGCTCACTGCAAGCTCCGCCTCCCAGGTTCACGCCATTCTCCCGCCTCAGCCTCCCGAGTAGCTGGGACTATAGGCACCCACCACCACACCTGGGTAATTTTTTGTATTTTTAGTAGAGACAGGGTTTCACCATGTTAGCCAGGATGGTCTCGATCTCCTGACCTCGTGATCTGCCCACCTCGGCCTCCCAAAGTGCTGGGATTACAGATGTGAGCCACCGTGCCCAACCCAAGGACAGTTATAAGATAACACTGTCTGAATAGCTAGGGCTAAAAAAATAGGCCTTGGACACTTCTTTTTTCTAGAGCAAAGTTGAAGGAAAAAAAGAGAAAAAAAATTATTTTACTGTAGAATGCATGAACCAGACACTCAAGCAGCTACTGAAGAAATATTGCCAAGAAACTCATCTGAGACAGAATCAAGTCTTGCCTATAGTCCTCCTCTGAGCCAAGCGCACCCCCACCAAACAAACTAAGTATTTACCCTATAAGATTTTGTTCAATCAGCCACCGTCAAATTAAAAGTGATCTCCAAGAACTAAAAGAACTAACCTTAAGAAATCAAATGCAGGCTTTAGAAACAGCCATGCAAAGTGTTCATAGTTAAGTACATAAAAGAATGCCTAGAAGTCTAACAGACCCAGTAAACCCTTTAAACCTAGTAGCTTTGTTTAAGTTAAAAAGTAGAACCCAACTTCTCTAAGACCCATGTAAGATAAGCCCCACAGAGTAATCTTGTCCACTCCCACTGCTGTTAAAGTTGCAAGAATCGTGCCTTAACTCCATCACAGTCAGCTAAAATCGGCAGCTCAGGACAAGTGAACCAGCCAGCAACACCCAGATCATCCAACCCGGCTGATCCTGAGACAAGACCAAGCTGCTGCTGAAGACGACAGCCCTGCTCTGGTCACTCCGGAGGCTGACCAGTCTACGCACAGCTGAAGTTTGAAGAAACAACAAGCCTTGCTCTAGTCACACACCGGAAGCTGACTAGTCTATGCACGGCTGAAGCTTAAAGACTCATCAAGCAAGTAAATGTAGTTAGAAATCTTAAGACTAGTAGTTTTCCTGTAATACTAACTGTTTTCCTATTGTTCTGTCACTGTGCTCAACCTCCTCCCCCAAATAAAGACCTCTTTTGTCCTTGCTAGATTTAAATATGCTGTACATTGTTTTGATGTTGTTACCCCCTTAACCATACTAGAAGAAACACTGACAGAAAAGTGTCCCCACTGTACACATACTACGTAGTCAAAGAACAGTATAACTAGAACTCTGTTGTACCATACTTATAAGTGTACAAAGACTCGCTTAAGAACTTGTACTTATAAGGCCGGGCGCGGTGGCTCACGCCTGTAATCCCAGCACTTTGGGAGGCCGAGGCGGGTGGATCACAAGGTCAGGAGATCGAGACCATCCTGGCTAACACGGTGAAACCCCATCTCTACTAAAAATAAAAAAAAAAAATTAGCCGGGCGTGGTGGTGGGCTCCTATAGTCCCAGCTACTCGGGAGGCTGAGGCAGGAGAATGGCGTGAACCCGGGAGGCGGAGCTTGCAGTGAGCCAAGATTGCGCCACTGCACTCCAGCCTTGGAGACAGAGCGAGACTCCGTCTCAAAAAAAAAAAAAGAACTTGTACTTATAATCAGACCACCTGTTCAATTTGTGACCCAAGAAATGGCCAGCCTTATATATGCTATGACCGAAGTCTTTACCTAGGACTTAGTTTAAGATTCATACAAGTAAAAAAAAAAAAAGAAGTCTTGTAAGTCAAACCCAAGCCTCTCCTTCCCAGGGTGGGGGCTATATCCATATACTTTGATATTTGTCAGTTAACATCCATGAACCCAACCTATCTCACAATCTCTAGTCCTACAAAGTACTATAAAAACTGCCAGTATAAAATTGTATGTACACTCCCTGTTTGTCCCTCCAAGGCCCTAGCAATAGCTTGCTGGAACTGCACAATGCAGTTCACTGACCGATCATCACTGAGGCCAAAGCCAATCTTGCTCATCAAAGTACCAGCAAAACCAGATTGTAAGACAAGCATTTGCAATCCTGTAAATCTTACTATCTTAAGGCCAAATCTACCTGTATGGACTATAGGCTACTCCATGGCATTACAAAGCTACGGTCAAAAAGCTAAAACAACTTTGTATATTATAAAGAAGACTTGAACCAAGCAGTCAGCCCAGGAGCAATTCTGAGTCTTTAAGTCATTCTTTGAGCATATAAACCAGAAGTTACCAGAGCCTCCTCCTTTAGCCAAAAACCTATTTGTTCAGCTGGCTGAAAACATTGCTGCCAGCCTAGGCGTTTCCTCATGTTATGTTTGTAGAAAGACTAGCATAAAAGACCAATGGCCTTAAGAAGCAAAAAAGTTAATGCCTCAAGATAACTTTACTCCAACTGACTCTTTCCCCAAACCGATGCCCACAAGTTCAAGCGTCTGGCTCTTAAAAACTTCTATATCGAGGCCGGGTGCAATGGATCATGCCTGTAATCCCAGCACTTTGGGAGGCCGAGGCAGGCGGATCGCCAGGTCAGGAGATCGAGACCATTCTAACACAGTGAAACCCTGTCTCTACTAAAAATACAAAAAATTAGCCGGGTGTGGTGGCGGGTGCCTGTAGTCCCAGCTACTCAGGAGGCTGAGGCAGGAGAATGGCGTGAACCCAGGAGGCGGAGCTTGCAGTGAGCCAAGATTGCGCCACTGCACTCCAGCCTTGGAGACAGAGCGAGACTCCGTCTCAAAAAAAAAAAGAAAGAAAGAGATTCCATCTGCATGTATACATTCAGCCAGGACACAGTGGCCAGGGGTCTTAAACACCACCCAAGAGCCTTCAGACAGTCAAGTTCCTCTTTCTTCTCAGGGTTCAGCCTGAGCACTGGGGTGACCAAACACACTGTGCAAAGGGCAGGAACCTCTTCAATGCCAGCTTATGAATCTGTCCCCTCCAGTGGTGGGAAATCGCACCTCAATCCACAATCCACTATTTCTTCCTGCCCTTACCTCCTCACACCCATCTGGAATTTAGGAGAATGTGGAGAGCAGCCAGCAGCAATAGCAGCAGCTGAGGCCTAAGGAAAACTGAACAGGAAGCCAAGGAAACACATCAGGTGACTAAAATTGTTTGCTGTTCTGCACATGTCCAGGAATGACCCCAAAAGATTTTCAATGACCAGTTCTATGGTTACCAACCTACCGGGCCACGTCATAGACATCAAGTGGATGAGCATTGCCTTTATCAATGACAGGTGAGCCCCACACCCAGAAGGACACCTACTCTCCCATTCCTTATGTTTTCTATCTTTTCACACCTTACATCCTCTTCCCTCCCTCTGGGTGTCTTCCCTCTTTGGGTCTTCTGTTTCTACCCTCTGCCTCCTTTCAGGTGACTAGAGCAGGCTGGTTTGGAACAGGGCTTGGCCATCAGCGTTTGTGTCAGATGAGAATCATGCAAGGATCCAGTGTGATGGGCAGCATCGCTTCGAGGTCAGTGTTAGTGAGCTGCCTGATGAGACAGATGTCTCCTCCACGGTGAGTGCTGATCTCATGAAACACTTAGTTCCTCCCTGAACCTTAGTATGTTTTTCTTCAATCTCATCACATAGGTCATGGGCATCTGATGCATAATGGACACTTGACTGGTTCATGCCCCCTGGCCTTTGATGCTGTGTTGGGATGTTTTCCTGACCTTTATGTGGGGTTTCTGTCTTCTCTCATCATATTACATCCCTTCCCTCACCCCCACGTCCGTCCTCTGAACCCACACAGTACACCAGCGTCTGCATGTGTGCCGTGTGTTCCTGCCTCACTTTCCCCTTTTCATGCCTTATTCTGACTGTGCCATATTTTCTCTTCAGTTGAACAGACACAGTAGAGGACTCACCAATTCTGGGATGTGATAGTCTGTCCTTCAGGAGAAGACCCCAGGGTGGGGGTGAAGGAGACACTACTGCCTCCACCCCTAACAGCCCCCACCCCATGGCTTCCCTCCTCTGCATCAGCACCACTCCTGAACCCCCATTCCTGATTGTCAGAATTTTAAAAATCCTAACTAGGCTGGGCGCGGTGGCTCACGCATATAATCCCTGCACTTTGGGAGGTCGAGGCGGGTGGATCACCTGAAGTCGGAAGTTCAAGACCAGCCTGACCAATATGGAGAAACCCAGCGTCTACTACAAATACAAAAATAACCGGGCGTGATGACGAGCGCCTGTAATCCCAGCTACTCGAGAGGCTGAGGCTCAAGAATCGCTTGAACCCAGGAGGCAGAGGTTGCAGTGAGCCGAGATCGCACCTTTGCACTCCAGCCTGGTCAACAAGAGGGAAACTCCATCTCAAAAAAAAAAAAAAATCCTAACGAAAAATGGAACACATGTGTGTCTGTGGTATCTGCATGCTACATCTTCTTACTGTGTTTGGGGAGAGGTTATTGTAGGACATGATCCAGGGTAAATTCCTGTAAGGCTGAGGTGCACTGCTGTGAGGTCAAAGGAGGCATGGGACTGAGACTGCAGAGCCCTGGCTCCCCACTACCTGCCTGTATTAGTCAGGGTTCTCTAGAACTAACAGAATAAATATATATATAAAGGGGGATTTATTAAGTAGTATTAACTCGCATGATCACATGGTCCCACAATAGGTCGCCTGCAAGCTGAGGAGCAAGGAAGCCAGTCCGAGTCCCAAAGCGGAAGAACTTGGAGTTCGATGTTCGAGGGCAGGAAGCATCCAGTATGGGAGAAAGATGTAGGCTGGGAGGCCAGTCTAGCCTTTTCACATTTTTCTCCCTGCTTTATATTCTGGCCACGCTAGCAGCTGATTAGATGGTGCCCACCCAGATTTAGGGTGGGTCTGCCTTTCCCAGTCCACTGACTCAAATGTTAATCTCCTTTGGCAACACCCTCACAGACATGCCCAGGATCAGTACTTTGCGTCCTTCAATCCAACCAAGTTGACACTCAGTATTAACCATCACACTGCTAACTTCTGGCCTTTTGTGGTCTCTTCCATTTTCCCAGTGGCCTGGGAGCAGCTGGGATATTTCTGATCCTGGGGTTCCTGGGGGTGGTGCACAGTATTTCCAATGCTGAGGGGTGCCACAGGCACTGGTGGGAAGCTTGGGTGTCTCCTCCCAGGCTCTCTTGGTGCCTCCTTCCTTATCTGTTTCTTCAGGTTCTGGATCTTGACCATCAGGGCCTGGGCCCCCCACCCCCTCCAGCAGAGCCTGATCCACTCCAGCTGCTGCTCCAGCAACTCTTTGGCTTGGGCCAGCTCAGCTGTGTGGTGGGGCCAGGGCCCTGGTGAGGGGAGTCAGGGAGGGAGCATCAGCCAGGGCAGGGGGGCTGAGGCTCTGGAAAGCTGTGCTGCAGGGTCTGGCTGTAAGTGGGAAATTCTACCTCCCTTTCTCTGTTTCTAGCCCATTAGTTTAAGTCCACCTGTACTGAGAAGCCCAGGGAGCCCTGTATCTTAGGTACAAGCCTCTGGGGAGCAGATAGAGATCCCTGGCCCAGGAGCTATACTGGAAAGCCCACAGCTGCAGAAAGTCAGGTTGCACCTGTAAAACCCCCAGCTGGTTAAAAAAAGATAAAATTTGACTACCTGAGAGGTTTCATTTATATAACAGGAACACCTTCCCAGCCTCTCTCTGTGGGCTATTAAAGATTTCAGAGATTTCTTATTCTAAACAATTAATGAAAACATCAAGTCTTAAAAGGACACATAGTAGTGTCATGGCTAGTCTTCAAAAATTCCCTTGACTAAATTAAGAGCAAAAAAATCACTTCAAACACTTCTGGTAGTTAAAATTAAACACTTCTCAGCCGGGTGCGGTGGCTCATGCCTGTAATCCCAGCACTTTGGGAGGCCGAGGTGGGCGGATCACGAGGTCAAGAGATTGAGACCATCCTGGCCAACATGGTGAAACCCTGTCTCTACTAAAAATACAAAAATTAGTCGGGTGTGGTGGTGGGCACCTGTAGTCCCAGCTACTCAGGAGGCTGAGGCAGGAGAATCGCTTGAACCTGAGAGGCGGAGGCTGCAGTGAGCCGAGATCACACCACTGTGCTCCAGCCTGGGCAACAGAGCAAAACTAAAAAAAAAAACATTAAACACTTCTGCCATGGCTCAGGTTTGCCACCTCATCAGGGAACAACTAAGGGCCACCCACCTTGTGGCCTAATAGTCATAACTTTGGTTAAGGCACTTGGGAGGATACCTTTTGGTAAAGAAGGTGAAAAGCCAGGAATATCAACTGTTCCTCCTGGCTAAAATCTGGTAATAAGAGATGTCAAAGGATTTTTTTAGAGCTCTATAGTCAAAATTTGACTTAATTAAAACTGATATTTTAGACTTCAGTGTGTACATATTGCTTTAAGGTCTCTTTTCTCCCTGGGTAAACATTTCTCAGTCAACTAAATGTCTCTCTTTTTCAACCCCCTGCTAGCCACATGCACTTCCTCTGTTTCCCTATTTCTTTGTTTTTTTTTTTTTTTTTTTTGAGACGGAGTCTCACTCTGTCACCCAGGCTGGAGTGCAATGGCGTGGTCTCAGCTCACTGCAACCTCCACCTCCCAGGTTCAAGCGATTCTCCCACCTCAGCCTCCCAAGTAGCTGGGACTACAGGCGCCTGCCACCACACCCAGCTAATTTTTGTATTTTTAGTAGAGACGGGGTTTCACTATATTGGCGAGGCTGATCTCGAACTCCTGACCTAGTGATCCACCCACCTCGGCCCCCCAAAGTACTGGGATTACAGGCATGAGCCACTGCGCCCGGCCTCCCCTATTTATTTCTATCAGCCCCTCCTTCCTCTTGCCAACCTTGGTGCCACATAAGAAAAAAATTAAATTAAATAAAATTCTAATAGCCTGGGATCCCTTAAGAAAAATGCAAAAGGCACCACAGACGCATTTTTGTGAGAAACTGCTGTTTTTTCCTCAGGGAATCCCAAGAGGGAATCCAAGAGAGGACAAAATCCTCTCAGGTCAAAAACTCTGTTCCTTTGCCTTGCATGACCTGATTTTGGCTTTGAATGGGATCAGAAATCACTTTATATTGTGAGAAAACTTGACTTTGGCGTATACAATGGCTGGGAAATGGGCTGATCACAGAGTGGGCTGATTGGCACTGGGTTGCCCACCAGCCTTGAGAGAAAGTTTTTGTAGCAAAACACACTAAAAATATTGTATGGCCAGGTCCCCATGGCATTACTCTCTTTCTGGGCACTGAAAATTCAGTGTGGGCTCTACCCTGAGTTCAATGGTCCAGTTAAAAGATACAGGCCAAATTAAAAGCACCTATCTAAATGCAGTTGATCTCCTTATAAGATCCTATGATAGACCGGGCACGGTGGCTCACGCCTGTAATCCCAGCACTTTCAGAGGCCAAGGCGGGCGGATCACAAGGTCAGGAGATTGAGACCGTCCTGGGTAACATGGTGAAACTCCATCTCTGCTAAAAATAAAAAAAAGTAGCCGGGCGTAGTGGCACACACCTGTAGTCCCAGCTACTTGGGAGACTGAGGCAGGAGAATCGCTTGAACCTGGGAGGCGGAGGTTGCAGTGAACCGAGATTGCGTTCTGCAGGAGGTACTAATTAAAATTGCGTACCTCCTAGTTTTTTCACTAAAAATAAGAGTTACTAAGAGTTAACATTACAATTCATAGATGTAATTTAAATTACTAGATATAAGATAAATAATTCTACAAGCAACATGCAAAGAAAAGTAGAATGTGGTTTTTGGTAGAAACATAAGAAGGCATGGAAATAGGGCTTTTGTTAAAGGAAAAGTAATTCTGCCTAGTTAGAGGGGTTTATTTTATTTTATTTTATTTTATTTTATTTTATTTTATTTTATTTATTTTGAGATGGAGTCTCGCTCTGTTGCCCAGGCTGGAGTGCAGTGGCATGATCTCAGCTCACCATCAACCTCCACCTGCTGGGTTCAAGTGATTCTCCTGCCTCAGCCTCCCAAGTAGCTGGGACTACAGATGTGCACCACCACGCTCAGCTAATTTTTTGTATTTTTAGTAGAGATGGGGTTTCACCATGTTGGCCAAGCTGGTCTGAAACTCCTGACCTTCTGATCCACCCGCCTTGGCCTCCCAAAGTGCTGGGATTACAGGTGAGCCACCACGCCTGGCCAAAATAATCTTTTATAACTTTTTTTGTTGGAAACATTGCTGATTCTTTTTGCTTTGTTTTTCAGAGTCAAGAAAACTTTTCTTTTGAACATTTACAGCTTTTCACAATGAAGCGTACTCTTGTAAGCAAAATTTGAGGCATATTTCTTTCTCTCTACCTGATTTCTCCAGAATTCAGAAACTATTTCTGAGATTTTGTTTGTTTGTTTGTTTTTTGAGAAGGAGTCTTGCTCTATCTCCCAGGCTGGAGTGCAGTGGGGCGATCTCAGCTCACTGCAATGTCTGCTTCCCGGGTTCAAGCGATTCTCCTGTCTCAGCCTCCTGAGTAGCTGGAATTACAGGCACCCGCCACCACGCCTGGCTAATTTTTGTATTTTTAGTAGAGACAGGGTTTCACCATGTTGGTCAGGCTGGTCTCGATCTCCTGACCTCATGATCTGCCTGCCTCAGCCTCCCAAAGTGCTGGGATTACAGGCATGAGCCACCACGCCTGGCCTTATTTCTGAGTATTCATGATTTATGGCAATATACTTAGTTGCATGAGTTTAATAAAAATCTGTTTTCTTTCTTAACAGGACATAATTTTGACACTGATTATTTTACCAAGGCTTTGGCTAGAATGCCATATTTTAAGATATAAGCAGACTGCTTTGAGAACTTGAGATTGATGTTATAGAACTGATTAAAAAAAAAAAACCCTTGGAAAAACTGACCTCATACTTTGTCTACGCATTTCCTTTACAGGGTTCCTGACAGGTAGTAAGTAAGAATATCACTTTCTCACAGACCTAGGAACCACACGTTATTTTGAGACCTTGAGAAGACAGAAATTTACCTCATTCATACAAGTATCTGCAGGCACAGATAAATCCTTGGCTGGACTCAAGAAAAACTCTAATCTGAGATTCCTTATGAAAAGCTCTAGCAAAACCAATTCAAAAAGAGCCTAGGGCCATGCACAGTGGCTCAGGCCTGTAATCCCAGAACTTTGGGAAGCCGAGGCGGATGGATCACCTGAGGTTGGGAGTTCGAGACCAGCTTGACAAACATGGAGTAACCCCGTCCTGACTAAAAATACAAAATTAGCTGGGCTTGGTGGCGCATGCCTGTAATCCCAGCTACTCGGGAGGTTGAGGCAGGAGACTCGCTTGAACCCGGGAGGCAGAGGTTGCAGTGAGCTGAGATTGCACCATTGCACTCAGCATGGGCAACAAGAGTGGAAACTCTGTCTCAAAAAAAAAAAAAAGAGCCTATTGGCCAATAATTATTCTTGCTGCGCTTTATGCAAATAATCAGACCAAGTATAATAAGACTAAAACTTATTTTGCAGATACGTTGGTCCCACTATGATTTTGATTTTGGTAAAAATAGGGGACTGGAGAGAGAAAAATTATTTCAAAGAAAATTATAGTATACTCATTATAAGATTCTAGCCTTGTCCATTGTTTTTCAGTTTTCACTATTTGTCTACAATTTATTCAGACTAGATCCTGAATTCTTTCCTGGCTATAAGTCTCCAAAGTAACATTTTCAAAAGAAAAATTTCTCCCATTTTTCTCACTTGGAATCACTAGAAATTAAAACTGTGCTTTTCTTACAGCCCTGCAAACTGAAGCTAGAAAACTTAAACTTTGTAGCGTAATAGCAGAAATAGTAGCATTTGCAGATAACTGTATTTTCACAAGCTTACTTTTTCTTATGTACAATGTAGACTTACTAAGTGCAAGACAAATGCATAATAGATTTTTTCTCTACTCCCTTCTTTTCACCTATAAAATGTAGATTCACTGAGCACTAATCAGAGCCTCACACACCCCACCTTTGTGCCTACCTACTGAAGTATGGACTTCTCGGTAGCATATCCTAAATTACTTTTCCAGGATTGCATTCCCTTTGTTTCTATAATCTGGTCTTGGTCCCTCCCTTTTGTTTCTCTTTTTCCCTTTTTTCTTTCTCTCTTTCCCTTTTTTCTTTCTCTCTTCCTCCCTCTATTTTTCTCCATGGGACAAGAGACTTTACAAGCCCCTAAGAATAAGCCTTCCTAGCAACATGGGATCTCATCTTCCAGGAATAAATCATTCTAGCAGAAGAGGTTAGACTAAACCCATGAGCAGACACCCATTTTCTTCTACCATGCTTTCTCTGAAAGATTTTGAATAACAAGGGAGAAATGTGAAAAGAAAATAGAATCTCAGGACCCCAAACTGCTATGCAAGAAAGTTAAGCTTGGAAACTGAGTCATGCAAAATTTGCCTTCCTTTTGTTCCCAAACATATAACTGTAATTTTACATGCTTACTTTAGCTTATGTAAAATATAGATTTACTGAACATGATGTGAATGCATAACTGACTTCTTCCTCCCTCCCTTCTTTTCACATGTAAAATGTAGATTCACTAAGGACTAATCACAGCCTCACAAGTATGTAACCACTCGCATCATTGCCTACCTGTCCTTCCTTTTTTTTTCTTTCCTCTCCTGCTTGCCCTTTCTCCTTTAAATATTGAAGGTCCCAAAATCCTCCTTGGAAAAAGCACAGGTCACAGGTCCTATTGTGGCTTATGTTTCTTTTCCCCCAGCATATTTTCAACCTTGGCAAAATGAATACCGAATTGATTGAGATCTGCCTCAGTCACTTTTTGGTTTACAAAGCTAAATTAATTACATTTGTAAATTAAAAACAAGGGGCCAGGTGCAGTGGCTCATGCCTGTAATCCTAGCACTTTGGGAGGCCGAGGTGGGTGAATCACCTGAGGTCAGGAGACCAGCCTTGCCAACATGGCAAAACCCTGTCTTTACTAAAAATACAAAAATTGGCCAGGCATGGTGGCAGGCACCTGTCATCCCAGCTACTCGGGAGGCTGAGGCAGGAGGCAGAGGTTGCAGTGAGCCAAGATCACACCACTGCACTCCAGCCTGGATAACAGAGTGAAACTCCGTCTCAAAAAAAAAAAAAAAAAGAGGCTGGGCACATTGGCTCATGCCTGTAATCGCAGCACTTTGGGAGGCCAAGGCAGGCAGATCATGAGGTCAGGAGTTCAAGACCAGCCTGGCCAACATGGAGAAACCCCATCTGTACTAAAGATACAAAAAATTAGCCAGGCATGGTGGCACACACCTGTAATCCCAGCTACTCGGGAGACTGAGGCAGGAGAATCACTTGAACCCAGGAGGCCAAGGTTGCAATGAGCTGAGATCACACCATTGCACTCCAGCCTGGGCAACAAGGTGAGACCCCATCTCAAAAAAAACAAAAACAAAAACAAAAACAAAAAGATAGCAGCTATTTAGAAAAAAAAAACAAGAGCTTGGAGTCGCAAAGAAGACAAGCACTCAAACAAAAGGACTTCTCAGCAAGGCAAATTTACTTCTGCAGAAGGGTGCTGCTTGCACTTCTGGCTGCTGCAAGAGCACACCGAACAATGGACAGAAGCGGGTTTTATCCCTAACGCAATCAGCCCCTGCTACTGTGTCCTGTCCCCATTTGCTGAAGTCAGACTGCACAATCTAAGCTGATCCCAATTGGCTATTTCAAATGGAGCAGGAGTGTGAGTAAGTAGGGCGGGAAGGGCTGTTTCAGCGAGAAGAGAGAGGCCATCCTTTACTGTGCAAAACATGTCAGGGCATGGCAAAGGCAGGAAGAGCCCTCTGCAAGTTACAGATTGGAACTGGCGGGAGTTGGTGTTTACAGAGCGGGTAACTAGGAACAAGAGAGTACAAGGAAGTTGGGTTTTAGAAATAGAAAACAAAGAACAAGGAAGTTGAAGAAGCTGAACCTTTGAAGAGGAACTTACTGTATCTAACAGAACAAATGAGGCTTCTGCAAGACAATTGAAATGATACACTCATAACAATCCTTCATGAAAGTAACATATTAGCCACCTGAGTTTCTGCTTTAGGTTATGAACTCCAAAATGGACTGGCCCCCAGTAATTTACAGTAGGTAGTCCTAAGCCATAAATAAATAGAATCTGTGAATATTAGCTTTGTTCATCTGTAAGAACTTAAGAAAGTGCTGGGCATTGGGTCAGTTCAAGTCTATTGGATGAACTGTGAATCTCATAATCATGGAAATGTAGGAATAAAGATAAATATACATAAACCAGGCCAGGCTCGGTGGCTGACTCCTGTAATCCCAGCACTTTGGGAAGCCAAGGCAGGAGGATCACCTGAGGTTGGGACCAGCCTGACCAACATGGAGAAACCCCATCTCTACCAAAAATACAAAATTAGCCAGGCATGGTGGCACATGCCTGTAATCCCAGCTACTCGGTAAGCTGAGGCTGGAGAATCGCTTGAACCCTGGAGGTGGAGGTTGCGTTGAGCCAAGATCGTGCCATTGCACTCTAGCCTGGGCAACAAGAGTAGAAACTCTGTCTCAAAAAAAAAAAAAAAAAGTAAACCACAGATTACCTAATGCTAAGGTTTTGTTACAGGAAAGGAGTCTTGATTCAGACCCCAAGAGAGGGCTCTTGGATCTTGCACAAGGAAGAATTCAGGGCAAGTCCATAGAGTAAAGTAAACCAAGTTTATTAGAAAAGTAAAAGAACAAAAGAATGGCTACTCCATCAACAGAGCACCCCTGAGGGCTGCTGGTTGCCCATCTTTATGGTTATTTCTTGATGATATGCTAAACAAGGGGTGGGTTATTTATGCCTTCCCTTTTTAGACCATATAGAGTAACTTCCTGTCGTTGCCACAGCATTTGTAAACTGTCATGGTGCTGGTGGGAGTGTAGCAGTGAGGACGACCAGAGGTCACTCTCATCACCATCTTGGTTTTGGTGGGTTTTGGCTAGCTTCTTTACTGCAACCCATTTTATCAGCAAGGTCTTTAGGACCTGTATCTTGTGCTGACCTTCTGTCTCATCCTATGACTTAGAATGCCTTAACCATCTGGGAATGTGGCCCAGTAGGGTTCAGCCTTATTTTACTCAGCCCCTATTCAAGATGGAGTTGCTCTGGTTCACATGCCTCTGACAGTTTGAATGACCCCCCAAAACTCATGTTGACATTTAATTGCTATTCTGATAGTATTAAGAGGGGAGACCTTTAAGAGTTGATTAGGTTGAATAGATTAATGTCATTATTGTGGGAGTGGGCTCCTGATAAAAAGTATGTTTGGCCCCTTTGCCCTACCTCCTTTCACCATGGGATGACACTACAGGAAGGCCCCCACAAGATGCTGATACCATGCTCTTGGACTTCCCAGCCTCCAGAACTGTAAGAAATACATATTTTAATAAATTGCCCAGTCTGTGGTATTCTGTTACAGCAGCAGAAAATGAAACCTAGTTTGTTATGTTATCATGTTTATTTATTTATGTTTGCTATTCTTGAGTCATAATAGAGTCTTACTCAGATGTGCATTCATGCCTGGCCTCTGCAGGAGGGGCCTGTCTTCAGCCAGGGACAAGCAGAACATTATGGTCAGCATCATCCACAAGGTCAAGAGGCCACAGAGCCCCCTGAGGGCAGTATACTGGCCCCTTCGATATTGTATCCTACCCAGCAGGTTAGTAGGACTGCATGACTGACAGGAATCATTGTAGCCTTCATAGCAAAGTTTTATGGAGACGGGGCTAAGGCTATTGAAGTCCAGCCATTAGATTAATGTAGGAGCTTGCTGTCAGAGACCCTGCTGGGCACTTTTTGTTCCTGTCACAGATGACCTTCACAACAACCTTTCAAGAGAGCTCTTTTCATTTCACTTTTCTTGCATGTGGATGTCCAGTTTTTCCAGTGCCATTTATTGAAAAGACAGTCTTTTCTCCACTGTATTGTCTTTGCTCCTTTATCTGTATTTACGTGGGTCTATTTCTTGGTTCTCTATTCTGTTTCATTGATCTATTTGTCTATTCTTTTGCCAATACAACACTGTCTTTTTTAAATTAAATTATTTTGGTTGACAAATAAAAGTTATATTTGGGTGTATAGCATCATGTTTTCATATACGTATACATTGTAAAATGGCTAAAGCAAGCCATTAACATATACATTACCTCACATACTTTTTGTGGTAATAATGCTTCAAATAATTTATCTTATAATTTTGAAATATACAATATGTGGTTACTAAGTTTAATCACCATAAAGTACAATAGATCTCTTAAACTTATTCTTCCTATCTAATTGAAATTTTGTGTTGGTCGGGCATGGTGGCTCATGCCTGTAATCCCAGCACTTTGGGAGGCCGAGGCGGGTGGATCACTTGAGGTCAGGAGTTCGAGACCAGACTGGTCAACATGGTGAAACTAAAAATACAAAAATTAGCTGGATGTGGTGTCACATGCATATAGTCCCAGCTACTTGGGAGGTTGAGGCACAAGAATCACTTGAACCCGAGTGATTCAGAGACTGCAATGAGCCAAGATCATGCCACTGCACTCCAGACTGGGTGACAGAGAGAGACTCTTGTCTTTTTTTTTTTTTTTTGGTAGAGTCTCTCTCTGTTGCCCAGGCTGGAGTTCAGTGGTTCAGTGGTGCAATCTCAGCTCACTGCAACTTCTACCTCCCGGGTTCAAGCAATTCTCCTGTCTCAGCCTCCCGAGTAGCTGGGACTACAGGCGCATGCCACGACACCCGGCTAATTTCTTTTGTATTTTAGTAGAGACAGGGTTTCACCATGTTGCCCAGGCTAGTCTCTAACTCCTGAGCTCAGGCAATTTGCCTGCCTCGGCCTCCCAAAGTGCTAGGATTACAGGCTTGAGCCACTGCGCCCAGCCGAGACTCTGTCTTTAAAAAAAAAAAAAGAAAGAAAGAAAAGAAATTTTGTGTCATTTGCTTACCCCTCCCCAATCCTCCCACCTCCCAGCCTCTGACAACTACCGGTTTACTCACCATGTATATGAGTTTGGCTTTTTTTACATTCCACATATATGTGAGATCATGTTTGTCTTTTTGCGCCTGGCTTATTTCACTTAACATAATGTCTTCTAGGTTCATTCATGTTGTTGACTGAATAGTATCCCACTGTGTATATATACCACATTTTCTTTATACATTCATCCATTAATGGATACTTAGGTTGATTCCATATCTTGGCTCTTGAGAATAACACTGCAGCCAGGTGTGGTGGCTCGCACATGGAATCCAGCTACTCAGGAGGCTGAGGCAAGATGACCACTTAAGGCCAGGATTCTGAGACCAAGCTGGGCAATGCAGTGACACCCTACCTCTAAAGAAAGAAGAAAGAATAATGCTGCAATGAACATGGAAGTGCAGACATCTCTTTGACACACAGATTTTATATCCTTTGAATATATATTCAGTGGTAGGATTGCTGGATCATATGGTAGTTCTATATTTTAATTTTTTGAGGAAGCTTCATACTCCTTCCAGCAATGACTATACCAATTATCTGTCTGGATTACTGCAGTTTTATAGAAAGTCTTGAAGTCAGGTGTGGCAGTACTTTGACTTTGTTTTCCTCCTATATTGTGCTGGCTAGGCCTTTTGCCTCTCCATATAAACCTTTTTTGTTTGTTTGTTTTTTGTTTTTTGAGACAGAGTTTCGCTCCTGTTGCCCAGGCTGGAGTGCAATCTCAGCTCACTGCAACCTCCACCTCCTGGGTTCAAGCGATTCTCCTGCCTCAGCCTCCCAAGTAGCTGGGATTACAGGCACCCGCCACCACACCCAGCTAATTTTTGTATTTTTAGTAGAGACGGGGTTTCACCATGTTGGCGAGGCTGGTCTTGAACTCCTGACCTCAGGTGATCTGCCCACCTCGGCCTCCCAAAGTGCTGGGATTACAGGCATGAGCCACTGTGCCCGGCCTCTCCATATAAATTTTTAAATCAGCTTGTGAGTATACACAAAATAACGTCCTGGGGTTTTGACTGGGATTGCACTGATTCTATAGATCAGGTTGGGAAGAAATGACATATTAACAATATTGAGTCTTCCTGGTCTTGCATCCCAGGTTCAAGCTATTCTCCTGCCTCAGCCTCCCGAGTAGCTGAGATTACAGGTGCCCACCACTACGCCTGGCTAATTTTTTGTATTTTTAGTAGAGATGGGGTTTCACCATGTTGACCAGGCTGGTCTCGAATTCCTGACCTTGTGATTCGCCTGCCTCAGCCTCCCAAAGTGCTGGGATTACAGGCATGAGCCACCATGCCCAGTTCTTTTGTAGCATTTCAAGATGTTCCAGGCTTATCTTGTATTTTTCCTACTTCACCGCTAGAATCAGCTATTTTTCTAAGGAGCCCTGGTTCCTTCTATTGGAGATTGATGTATTATAACCAAAATCTGGGCATTGGGTGCTCATTTCACTTTCCTAAGGAGGACATAGAGGTTCTGTTGATGACATCTGTGATACCTCTGTCTTTGTCTTCTTCATTTAAAAGAATGTAAACAAGAGACACACAGCAAAGGAGATGCAGTACAGAGCAATTTATTGCAAAGGAAAAATGATATTTTGAAAGTTAAGTGCAGAATAGATAGTATGCCCTGAGAGAGAGGATTCAGGGTGGACTGCTCCTAAGGATGAGACAGCATTGATTATTGCTGCAGAAACTCCCTTTATGGGGGTCTTACATGATTATTCATAAGGAGGTGGAAGAGATGTTACTAGTCAGCATGTTCTGGGTGGTCCTCTGGGTGGGTGGTCCTCTGGATGCACATTTGCAGTAGCTATACATGCTTGTTCATGCATCTCATGTCTCATAAGCATCTTAAATCTCCACCCAGGGGTGTGTTTCTTACTATTGCAATGAGCTAAGGGTCAGTTTGATGGTAGGTAAAATCAAAATGCGCATGCTCTCTACAGGGTAAATTCCCTACTGGAGATAGCTTTGCTTGAATGAGCTGGTCTACAATGTGAATGCTGGAGCTTACTGTGTTGACTGTATGGTTATCACTGTTGCTGCATCCAAGGACATAGTTACTTCCTTGACTCCCAATCCTACCTCAATTCCTCCCTAAAAGATCTTAGGACCCATAATCATATGGGAGGATGAGAGGCTAGGTCATTTCTTCCAGAGCTGCTTCCTGCTGAGTGCGGCATTGTCCTTGCCTAACCTGGGCCCTGAAGTCTTTTCCTGCCTAGTCTAACAGTGTGTAAGCCATGACTTTCAGGGGACTGGTGGGCAAGATGTGAGATAGCTCATTAGCAGCCAAAGGTTGGAAGCCTTGCAAAACCATCACATGAACCGGGATTTGCTGTAGGTGACAGAGCAAGAAATCAGCAATTTTTTTTTTTTTTTTGAGACAGTCTGGCTCTGACGCCCAGGCTGGAGTGCAATGAAGTGATCTCAGCTCTCAGCTCACTGCAACCTCTGCCTCCCAGGTTCAAGTAATTCTCCTGCTTCAGCCTCCCAAGTAGCTGAGATTACAAACGCCTGCCACCACACCTGGCTAATTTTTTGTATTTTTAGTAGAGACAGGGTTTCAACATGTTGGCTAGGCTGGGAAATCAGCATTTTAAACAAAGTTGGACCAAAAGTTAGAGCTAAACATATGGTAATGACTGGCATTGTTCAAGGGAGCAAGGCAGAAAACAGCCATTGCTTCCAAGCTCCCATGGACGCTCCTAAATATTCAATTTTGTCTGCCTGGGTAATGATTTTCTTGTTCCAAGAAAATGCTATTAATATATATTTGTAATTTGATTGATGCAAAAACAACATTCTTCTTCTCGTTACAAACATGTTGCTCACAGACAACTGTGAGAAGGTCTAAGGCTCTTCGGTTTTGTAGGACTGCCAGGAAGTCCAGCTGTTGCTGAAGTCTAGTGAGGCTCTCTGCTGTTTGTCAGAGGGCCACTCTGGTCTCCTGAGACAGTTTATGCTGGGTTCCCAAGGCTCTGTCTCTGTGGCTGGCTCTGCTAGTCCCGATAGAGAGGATAGCACTAATCCCAAGGGAACAAGGAATCCTGCTCAGCGGTGGATCTTGTGATGTTGGTACATGGGGAAAGGGAGAGATTTGTTAGCCAATGCAAAAGGTAGATAAGGGGAAATGTAAACTATGGGACATCATCCCTTCCATTGTGGAGGGAGTTGTAGACGTGCTGAAGATCCACAAATACCAACAAATTCTTTTTTTTTTTTTTTTGAGACAGAGTCTCACTCTGTTGCCAGGCTGGAATACAGTAGTGCGATCTCAGCTCACTGCAACCTCCAACTCCCTGGTTCAAGCGATTCTCCTGCCTCAGCCTCCTGAGTAGCTGGGATTACAGGCACATGCCACCATGTCTAGCTAATTTTTGTATTTTTAGTAGAGACAGGGTTTCACCATGTTGGCCAGGATTGTCTCAATTTCCTGACCTCGTGATCCACCCGCCTCAGCCTCCCAAAGTGCTGGGATTACAGGCGTGAGCCACTGCACCTGGTCAACACAAACAAATTCTATGTGATGGTGAAATTTGTGCTGCAAAAGCATTTTGCATCGAGGTGGTAAAAGTAATGGAAATTTGGTGGTCACTGGACTAATTAGAGGATGGTAGAGTTGAGTGGTGTTAATAAGCTTTTTGAAATAAGGTTCCCCCTTTAGGGTTCTATCATGAGGTATATAAATGATTCTGTGAGAAAGGTTTAGATATACTGACTCTCTCGTGGAGTTTTTCTATAAAAGGAGTGAAACTGGCATGGTTGCTGTAAAGGCAGAAGGGGAATTGCTCTGGGTAAAAAGCAAGGTAAGAAAGCAATTTTCCCCTTGGCAGAGTGAAGCTATTATTATTCATAGATAAAAATGGAAGTTTGAACTGGCAGTGGCCAGGTCCAAGGAACTCTCTTTGTATTGTTTGTTTAGTCAGATATTCCCACATTATGGTCCAAAGTTTGTTCCAGGAGGTGTATAGGAATGTTGGCCCATTCTTCCTGAGAAACAGGTTTTGCACATTTTTAAATTTTGGTAGTCATGCAAAGCCAGCAATACTGAGTTAATTTTTATAAATTAGTAGTATGGTTTATTATTTCTTTAGCAGATAAGGTCGTTTTACTAAAAGCGCCTAAAATACAGTAAATAAATAAGAAAAAAATAAAAACATCACATCTCACTGTGAGTTGTTTTCTTGAATAGAAGCTTATGCTGAGGCAACATTAATTGCCTGATGTTTTGGGTCTTGGCTGTTTTTGGACAGGAGCCTTAGATCCTCCAGTGCTTCATAGGAATAGCTTGGAGTCTTTGTTTCAAGTTTCTGTGATGACTTAAAAGGAATCATTTTTTATTTTTGATAAACACACCAAAGGCCTACACCCCTAAGTTTTACTGCAGCAGAAGTTGGTCAGCTGCATGGTAGAGTGAAAATCCTAGTCTGGAGTTTGCTATTAACACCAATGACAGTGTCGTGTTTGGTAGACAGAGGCCCAGGGCAGACAGTGAGAACTGACAGGCCAGCCTCTGTCTTTAAAAGGATATTGATATTTTTGCCTGTCATGTCCAGGGTCATCCAAGGCTCCATTGCTGTGACTGGGGCTGATTGCCACATAGGAGCTGTTTTTTGCCTTTGGTCTCTTTAGTCTTTAGCCAGGGACAATAAGGAATTAGGAGTCCCTCCTCCCTTCAGAGTTGGAGACAATCCTTCTTCCATTGCCCTTCTTTGTCACATTGATGACAGGCTCCAGAGGGTTTGCAAGCCTGAAGGCCTTTGTTACTTACTTAGCTCCAGTGTCCAGGCTTTTTATAAATGCAGGAATAGCCCTTGGGTTCCACTCAGGATGACCTGGAGGTGGGAGTTTTCGCATAGTGAGTGTAGGCCAAAAATTGGGACTATCTTTTGTCTCTCTTTTCTTCCCTTTGATCTCTATGTGCCTTTTCCACTCTGTCTTGGTAATTAAAGACACCAAAAGTTAGGTTTAGCAGTTCATTTATTGGGACTTGGGGATTTATGACTAGTTTTGTGACTTTTTCCTGATATCTGGGACAGACTGACTCATGAAGTAGGTCTCTAAGAGGATTTGGTTGTTTTTCTGTGTGTTACCTGAGAGAGGGAGATACAGACAGAGAGTGAGAGTAGGTTGCTTTTTGTTTTAGGGGGGCAATAGGATACTCTGCTATGAGTTGTCCCAGCAGGACTGGGCTCTTTAGGGAGTGTTTGGTGAACAAGCTGATAAGGACGGGGTGCAGAAGACTGTGTGTCAAGTGAGGAAGGACTACAGGAGTAGAAGCTTAAGAGGTTTGAAGAGTAACCCTGGACTAGATTGTAAGGGAGGAAAGTTGTTGGTAGGAGGTATTTTTCTTTCTTTCTTTTTTTTTTTTTTTTTTTTGAGACAGAGTCTCACTCATCACCTAGGCAGGAGTGCAGTGGTGTGATCTCAGCTCGCTGCAACCTCCGCCTCCTGGACTCAAGTGATTCTCCTGCCTCAGCCTCCTAAGTAGCTGGGATTACAGGCCTGCGCCACCACACCCGACTAATTTTTTTATTTTTAGTAGAGACAGGGTTTCACCATGTTGGCCAGGCTGGTCTCGAACTCCTAACCTCAAGTGATCCACCCACCTTGGCCTCCCAAAGGGCCACTGTTGCACCCAGCTGGTATATTTCTTATTATAGAGTCATTAATTATGTTAGATTTCCCCAAATTCTTTTTTGAGACAGAGTCTCGCTCTGTCACCCAGGATGGAGTGCAGTGGTGTGATCTCGATTCACTGCAACCTCCGCCTCCCACGTTCAAGTGATTATCTTGCCTCAGCCTCCTGAGTAGCTGGGATTACAGGTGCAAGCCACCACGCCTGGCTAATTTTTGTATTTTTAGTAGAGATGGGGTTTCACCATGTTGGTCAGGCTGGTCTCGAACTCCTGACCTCATGATCCACCTGCCTCAGCCTCCCAAAGTGCTGGGATTACAGGCGTGAGCCACTGCGCCCGGCCTCCCGAATTCTTTTGAATAACATGAGCATAATATATTTGGTATCAGTCTCTAAGGGACTGGTCTTAGTATAGAGCTGTCTGGTTAGTAGGGGGAATAATGTCAGGTTCCCCTGGGCCCTTGGGAAATCCCTGATCATCCTCCTTTCTTTTTTTTTTTTTTTTTTTTTTTTGAGATGGCGTCTCTCTCTGTCACCCAGGCTAGAGTGCAGTGGCTGAATCTTGTCTCACTGCAACCTCTGCCTCCCAGGTTCAAGTGATTCTCCTGCCTCAGCCTCCCGAGTAGCTGGGACTACAGGCACGTGCCACCATGCCCAGCTAATTTTTGTATTTTTAGTAGAGACGGGGTTTCACCATATTGGCCAGGCTGGTCTCAAATTCCTGACCTTGTGATCCGCCCGCCTTGGCCTCCCAAAGTGCTGGGATTACAGGCATGAGCCACTGCACCCAAACTTCCTTTCTTTTTATTTAAAAACAGCAACAACAACAAAAACTCTAATTGTAAAACAGTATTGTTTGGGACCATGCAGTGTTGAAAAGACCTAATCATGGAAATTTATTTATCTTTTTTTTCAGGTTAGTAATGGCCAACCTTATATGTGCCCTTAATGTTTTAATTTTGGCCTTAAAATAACAGCTTAGGACATGTAAGTAGCTATGTTCATTAGGCTTTCTAGGTCTCGTAAGGGGAATTTGGTAGAAAATATATTTCACCCAGCAATTAGTTTTCTTCCAGGGCTGGGCACTGTGGCTCACACCTGTAATCACAGCATTTTGGGAGGCTGAGGCAGGCAGATTGCCTGAGGTCAGGAGTTCCAGAGCAGTCTGGCCAATATGGTGAAACCCCATCTCTACTAAAAATACAAAAAAATTAGCCAGGCGTGGTGGCACACACCTGTAGTCCCAGCTACTCGGGAGGCTGAGGCAGGGGAATTGCTCGAACCAGGGAGGTGGAGGTTGCAGTGAGCTGAGATCGGGCCACTGCACTCCAGCCTGGGTGACAGAGTGAGATTTCGTCTCAAAAAAAAAAAAAAAAAAGTTTTCTTCCGGTAAAGATAAAACTTTCTTTGCTCTCACCAAAGGCAGAGGAGCCCTGACACACAAAGCAGAAAGAAAGAACCTTTAGGACAATTTTTATCAGTCTTACGGGTTAGAGAGAAAAAGAACGCAAATGAAAGTCTGTGAATACAGACGGATCAAAAAGGACAATAAATTTTCATGGAAGGACAGAATTCAAAAGGGGTGAAATGCAAAGAAGTGCAAACATAACAAGATGATTGTTAGTAGTAAGAAAAATGAAGATCTCCAGACATTGCAAATGAGGATTCCCAGACAGTGCACAGCCTGGACGGAAGCCCTGCCAGCTTCACAAACCTCCTGTCAGGGAGGGCCACAGTGAACTAGATCTACTTGGTGTGAACTTTGAAGTCCTCACCTCTGCTTGTCACCTATCAGGCTATCAGGATGAACTGATAAATCAGCTGAAGGGAGCAAAGTCACAGTGCGTGAGAATTGTTTTGGAGATTTGTAAGTGGAAGAATGAGAGGAAAGGGAGAGACTCAGTGATGGAAAAGAAAACCTTAAGCCTTAAAGTGGTGAGGATTGTATCAATAGTTTTATTCTTTGGCAATTGTTTATTATCTTTTATTTATTTAAAAAAAATTTTTTTTTTGAGACGGAGTTTTGCTCTTGTTGCCCAGGCTGGAGTGCAATGGCATAATCTCGGCTTACTGCAACCTCCGCCTCCTGGTTCAAGCAATTCTCCTGCCTCAGCCTCCCGAGTAGCTGGGATTACAGGAATGTGCCGCCATGCCCAGCTAATTTTGTATTTTTAGTAGAGATGGGGTTTCTCCATGTTGGTCAGGCTGGTCTCAAAATCCCAACCTCAGGTGATCTGCCCACCTCGGCCTCGCAAAGTGCTGAGATTACAGGTGTAAGCCATCGCACCCACCTATTATCTTTTAATTTATACAGTTTCAAAATATTCCAATGTTTAGTATATACCCTAGAGGTGTTTCAGTGACAGTAGAGGAGGTGGCTTTCTAGGTAACAAGAGAATCCTGCAACCACAGAAACATGTACCAAAATCCAGGAGGTCATCGGCATCCCTGTGAGCTAAGCTGGACGATGGAGTCCAGGGTGTTCCCTTGAATCCCCATGAAACTGAGGCCCTAGGAGGTCATGGGCATTTGCCATGCACCATTCTAGGTCTCACTGGTGCTGGACGTCTCCAAGCTGAACTGAAGTGATCTCTGCTGCCAGCCGGGGAGCCTGGATGTCTCACCAACAAGCCCTTCCTTATTTCACTGATCTGCCATTTTTAATGTCCAGTCATCATGCTTGGAATGCCTGGTTATAGTCCCCATGACTACACATCCATGTGGCCACACATCCTGCACTCAACATGGATGGCCTCTTGGAACGTCTCCTGTTCTCAGAGGAGACGTTCAGAACACACTCCTCTGAGACTCAGAGGAGTCTCAGAACACACAGAGCCTGGAGGAATGGGGACTGTTGGCAAAAGTAGATCTAATGTGTCCCTCAAGGTGAACAAAAATCTTTGAAGAGATTACTTGATTAACAAACAAGTGCTGGGCGCGGTGGCTCATGTCTGTAATCCCAGCACTTTGGGAGGCCAAGGTGGGCTGATCATAAGGTCAGGAGTTCGAGACCAGCTGAGCCAGTATGGTGAGACCCCGACTCTATTAAAAATACAAAAATTAGCCGGGCGTGATGGTGCACGCCTGTAATCCCAGCTACTTGGGAGGCTGAGGCAGGAGAATCGCTTGAGCCCAGGAGGTGGAGGTTGCAGTGAGCCGAGATAGAGCCACTGTACTCCAGTCTGGGTGACAGAGTGAGACTCTTGTCTCAAAAAAAAAAAAAAAAAAAAAAAAAAAAAAAAACAAAACAAGTTACAATAGCCAGTAAGTACAGATCAGGTGCAGTCCTGGGAGGAACAGCAAAACAAAAAGTGAAACAGAAGCAGCAAAAGTCCCAAGGCTGAATAATCAGGGCGTTCCATCCAAATAAGGTAGTTGTAAACACTGTAAAAGCAGCAGCCAAATGGAAAGCAATCACAATTAGTTGCTCAAAGAATGTGAGTGAGTTAAAAGGTCCTCCCCCAAAACCTTAATAGATCTGGGGAAAGCAGTGATAGTCAATCGGGGGTCTCTGGCTGCCATAGTACTCACCAGTAGTGAAGAGAAACTGAAACCAACGAAGCAGACAAACCTCTGAGTCATGGCACCGGAAATGTTGACGGCTGTTGTAATACCTTGGTTCTTGACTTCTTCATTTAAAAGAATTTAAACAAGAAACACGCAGCAAAGGAGATGAAGTACAAAGCAATTTATTACAAAGGAAAAATATTATTTTGAAAGTTAAGTGCAAAATAAACTGTACACCCTGAGAGGATTCAGGGTGGGCTGCTCCTAAGGATGAGACAGCATTGATCACTGCTGGAGAAACTCCCTTTATGGGGGTCTTACATGATTATTCACAGGAGGTGGGTGGGAAGAGGTGTTACTAGCAAGCATGTTCTGGGCGGTCTTCTGGGTGCACGTGTGCAGTAGCTGTACATGCTTGTTCATACATCTCATGACTCATTAGCATCTTAAATCTCCACCCAGGGCTGTGTTTTTTTTCACTATTGTGATGAGCAAAGGGTCAGTCTGAGAACAGGTGGAAATGCACGTGTTCTGTACAGGGTAAACTCCCTATTGGAGATAGCTTTGCTTGAATGAGCTGGACTACAATGTGAATGCTAGAGTTTATTGTGTTGATTGTGTGGTCATCACCAGTCGCTATGTCCCGAGGACATGGTTACTTTTTTCATTACCTATACTTCCTCAATTCCAACACCTGCCTGAGCTTACACAGGCAAATAAATGACTCATTTCAGCACCACCTTAGAGCTTATTCAGTGCAGCCTTTGACATCCCTCAGAGGAGAAGTTTTCCAAGCATGATTTTATTTTGTAAAGCCTCCGTTTTTTCAGCCTGCAGAGCTGAGACATTGATAATTTTATTCTCAAATATTTAGAGACTTTCTTATAAGATTTTCACATCTTGGTAACAAATTTCACTTACAAAATTTGCCAGAATAGGCAAAAGGAAAGAGACAGCAGGAGGGATCACTAAGATTTTTCTTTCCTGTGGAGTATTTCACTGTTCCTGCTTCTCTTTTCACTTTCCTGGGCTTGGGGGAAGGGCAGCTCCCTCGGACCATGAAAGAAAAATGGTAATACGGAAACATCTGTCTTTATCGCCTCCCCCAACCCTTCCACTCTGCTCTGGCTGTGCCCATTCTCCCTCCCACCCCCTGGCCCATAAGCCTTTTCCTTCTCCCAACCTCACCGAGAGCCCAGACTCTCACCTACAGCTGGCTCCTCAGTGGGAACTGAGTCATTACCTGCTAAAGGGTAGAAGAGGAGAGAGAGAGGCCAGAGCCTGGGGATGGGGCAGAAGGTGCAGCAGGAAGGAAGGTTAGAGTGAGAAAAATTTCCAAATAAGGGGTGATGTGTGAGTGCTCAGAGGGTGACTGAGGACATCCCCAGCATTTCCATTGAGGAGGGAGGAAGGAGGGGCCCTTGGGTTCTGGGGCAGATGCCGGCAGGGTCTGGATGAGATGCCCCCAACCTCAACCCTGGTCCTCTGAAAACACTTCACCCAGTCACACTGAGGAGCCCCTCCAGGCCCAGGGGCCCCTCCAGGTAGGCGTATCTCAGCTCCTCTCTGGAAGGACCCCCACAGCTGCCCAGCCCTGGTATGTCTCATCTCCCTGGTTCTGGTCCCCTTGAGTCTTGAGTCCGGGGTTGGCTCCTTCCCTTCCTGCAGCCGGGTCAGAGTGAGGTTGGCAGATGAGAAGCCAGGTGCTCTGCATGGCAAGGTGTGGTTGCCCTCAGGGTCCTCCTTGTCAGGGACCACAAGCCCTGGGGAAGGAGGCACTCGATGTAGGAGAGAGAGCAGAGAGGTGGAGTGAGGGTGGGACACGCTTTGGCCTCCCCTCCTCTCCTAGTCTTCCTCCACATGCCAGTGCCTTTCCCTCCCCAACTCCAGGTCGTGTAAGAGCCACAGCAGGAAGGGTAGACCTGGGTCCCCAACATTCTTTGAAGAAGTCTTTCCATAAGTGTGTCCACCTCCATTCCCACTGCAGCTTTAGGGTCTGCCTCAGTGCAGAGCCCTGGGTATGTACAGAGCATAGGTGTACATGAGGGTGATTCTGGAAGGTTCTTCCTTTGCACATACCTGCGTGTCTCAGTTTCTCTCCTCTTCAAGTCTGCTCAAATGGCACCTTCATGAGGCCCACCCTGAACACCCTACTTAAAATGCCACCTCTATTACTTTGCATTGATTGTCAACTTTGCATTTTTTTTTTTTACTTTTTTTTTTTTTTTTTTTGAGGTGGAGTCTTGCTCTGTCACCAGGCTGGAGGGCAGTGGTGCGATATTGGCTCACTGCAACCTTCACCTCCTGGGTTCAAGCGATTCTCCTGCCTCAGCCTTCAGGGTAGCTGGGACTACAGGTGCACGCCACCACACCCAGCTAATTTTTGTATTTTTAAGTAGAGACAGAGTTTCACCATGTTGGCCAGGATGGTCTCGATCTCTTGACCTCGTGATCCACCCATCTCGGTCTCCCAAAGTGCTGGGGTTACAGGCGTGAGCCACCGCACCTGGCCTATTTTTTCTTTTTATCACCTATCACTTTGTAAACATAAAAGTCCTTTTCCAAAGATGGCCTCAACAATATCTCCCATCCCACATGCTCTTTAGCAATGTGACCTTGCCGTCCTCTATCAAGAGCTGATGCTAATCCCCCTCTTTTTGGATCTGGGACTTGCTTTGGTGACTAGAACATGAGGAACGTGATGCTGCCTGACTTCTGAGGTTCCAGCATAAGATGCCTTGTGGTTCTGACTTGGCCACTTGAAACACCCGGACCCCAGGTGCAGAGCCAGAAGCAGCCAGGGCACGTGGAGGAGCAGGTGGAGGAGAAACCAAGTCACCTGGTTCACAGCCTCAGTGAGTTCCCAGCCAACAAGCCAGCACCAACTGCAGCCCTGTGCAGGAGCCTCTTGAATGTGTTGGACCAGCTGGGCTCCAGATGATGGTGGCCCAGCCCATGTTGTATGGAGCGGAAGAGCTGCCCAGCTGAGCCCAATCAGCCCACAGAATGAGAGATAATATAAAGGTTGTTTATAATATACATATATATATATATATATATATATGTATATATATATATATATATATATGTATATATATATTTTGGGGGGGATGGAGTCTCACTCTGTCACCCAGGCTGGAGTGCAGTGGCACAATCTTGGCTCACTGCAACCTCCACCTTCTGGTTTCAAGCGATTCTCCTGCCTCAGCCTCCCAAGCAGCTGGGATTACAGGCACCTACCACCACGCCCAGCTAATTTTTGTATTTTTAGTAGAAACGGGGTTTCATCATGCTGGCCAGGCTGGTCTCGAACTCTTGACCTTGTGATCTGCCCACCTCAGCCTCCCAAAGTGCTGGAATTACAGGTGTGAGCCACCATGCCCGGCGTTTGTATGCGTTAAGATTATTTTTTGCTCAGCAATCAATTGCTGGAACACATCCATATAATTCACTACTGTTATTATATTTTTCCTTATTGTCTTTCAGATTGTAAGCATCAGGGAGCAGGTGTTAGTCTCTTTTGATTAAATGATCACCAGGCCTAGAAAAATGCCTGGCACAGAAGCACTTACTAAATATTTGTTAAATGGATGAATAAACTATGTGACCAGAATTCCTTAATACTGGGTCCGAGACTAGAAAGTGGGAGTTACTGGTTTGGTTTTGGCACTTGTTTAGTCAGCTTGTGCTGCCATAACAAAACACCACAGATGGATTGGTTAACAACAGACATTTCTTTCTCACAATTCTGGACCCTGGAAATCTGAGGTTAGGGAACCAGCAGATTCAGTTCCTGGTGAGGGCCCTCTTCCTGCCTGGCAGACAGCTGCCTTCTTGCCATATCCTCACGTGGTGAAGAGAGTGGGAGCTCCAGTCTCTTCTTTTTCTTAAAAGGACACTAATCCCATCATGGGGGCCCCAACCTCTCAACCTCTTCTGAATCTAATCACTTCCCAAGATGGCCACCAGTCTCAAGGAGTTTACTGTCACAGTGGGAGCAAAGATGCTACAGCAGGTTGTAAAATTAAGTGTCATCCCAGTCAGTGGGGAGAGGACAGGTAATTCAGGGAAGGGGACCTGGATAGAGCTCACCCATAGGATATGGCAGGTCCCAGAACTCTACTGAAATCAAGTCTGGACAAAAGTCAATAATATTCTTCTGACCGAATTCCTTTCAGTCTTCCTGAGGGATGGGCAGGCTCATTCCAGAATAAAGAAGATGCCTGGGGTAAAGAAGACTAGTCTCCAAGGGCACTGGGCCAGGACACCTAGGTTCTACTGGTCACCAACGCCCACCCAGATCTCTCCTGGGTGGAGCCTTGTTCCAAGCCTCTCACAGCCCTTGCCTGCATTCCCATGGTGCTCACCATGGATAACAGGGTCACAGCCAGCCTCAGAGCCAGACTGTTAAGTGAAACCACTGATCCTTGCTGAATTACTTCCTTGAGGCTGAGATAAACTTCACATTTCAGCCTCATTAATAAGATTAATTGTAAATCCAAATGGCCTGCAAATCTATAAACAGTCGCTCAGTTGATTAGCCAGAACATTGAGGACTGTTAATGATACAGGAAAAGGCCCATTTTGGAGGTGAGAAGCTGAGGAGCTTGAAACTGTTTCCATTGTTTATGAAAGTAATCTGACAATTATGAATGAAAATACCCACCACCCCCCGACCCAGCAATCCAAGGTGGGAAATATCTTTTTTTTTTTTTGAGACGGAGTTTTGCTCTTGTCCCCCAAGCTGGAGTGCAGTGATGCAATCTCAGCTCACTGCAACCTCCACCTCCCAAGTTCAAGTGATTCTCCTGCCTCAGCCTCCCAAGTAACTGAGATTACAGGCGTGTGCCACCATGCCAGGGTAATTTTTGTATTTTTAGTAGAAACGAGGTTTCACCATGTTGACCAGGCTGGTTTCGAACTCCTGACCTCAAGTGATCCGCCTACCTCAGCCTCCCAAATGCTGAGATTACAGGTGTGAGCCCAAACTCCTACTTTTAAATCACTGCATAATAGTCCGTAGTCCATTGAATGGAGTATAGCAATAAACACTGTTACATATTCTGAACCTCAACTCCCTCCCTCCCTCCCTCCCTTCCTCTCTCTCTCTCTTCTTTCTTTCTTATTTTTTAACACAGGGCCTCACTCTGTCACCCAGGCGGAGTGCAGTTGTGGGTTAATCATGGCTCACTGCAGCCGCGACCTCCCCAGGCTCAGGTGATCCTCCCACCTCAGCTTCCAGAGTAGCTGGGACTACAGGCATGAGCCACCTCACCTGGCTAATTTTTTGTATTTCTGGTGGAGAAGGGGTTTCACCATTTTGCCCAGGCTGGTCTTAAACTCCTAGGCTCAAACCATCTGCCTGCCTCACCCTCCCAAAGTGCTAGGATTACAGGTGAGCCACCACACCCAGCCAACTGTCTTTATTTCTGTAAGAGATATTTCCCGGCCAGGCGCGGTGGCTTACACCTGTAATCCCAGCACTTTGGGAGGCCGAGGCGGGTGGATCACCTAAGGTCAGGAGTTCGAGACTAGCCTGGACAACATGGCAAAACCCCGTCTCTACTAAAAATATAAAAATTAGCCGGGCGTGGTGGGGGGTGCCTGTAATCGCAGCTACTTGGGAGGCTGAGGCAGGAAGAATTGCTTGAACCCGGGGGGGCGGAGGTTGCAGTGAGCCCAGATGGCGCCACTGCACTCCAGTCTGGGTGACAGACCAAGACTGTCTCAAAAAAAATAAAATACATAAATAAATAACAATAATAATATGTAAGATTTGTCCCACGGCATTTTGAGGTGATGGCAGGCAGAAATAAAGCCAGTCCCACCCTTTCTGGGCTAGGGAAAGCTGAGATGGTCTTCGGCTCCGGGTGAGTCACTCCCCAGGGTCCAGGCCTGGCTGCCCGTTCCCCTCCCCCTCCAACCCACCTACAGCCCCTTCTGCTCTGCCCCATCAACTACATTTTCTCCCTCAGCACTCGCCTTAGATTCCTGGACTCACAGCACAGAGGCGACCTCCTCCTTGCAGACTTTAGGCGCCACTGCGGGGTCCGGAAAAAAAAGAGAAACGGCCCAGCGCTGTCACTTACATAACCCAGGGCGGGGCTGCGCTCAGCGACCGCAGGCGTTTTGAATTCTGCGCCCCAGAGTTCACTGCGAGGACTGGGATCACCCGTCACCCCGCCCTGGTCTACGGAAAATGACAAGTGTTTACTGATATAGAAACGGAATAACGGCGCTGTGGGCTGGGGTGGGCGGAGCTGCCTTCAGGCTTCTGGTCTCCAGCGGCGGGGAACTCACACCTGCCGCTGTGAAAATGCAGACCCGCGGGGCAGTAATTCCGAGTCCAGCCTGGGGCGCGATCTGGAATCTTGACTCGCTTGAAACACCACGGCGGATTCGGAGACAGGTGAGTAGAGAAATGAGCCTCAGCCCCTCCCACGGGCCGCCCACGGATTCCAGGATCCGGAAACTCTTCCTGCTGCTGCGTCACCCCAGGAAGGCAGCGCCCGCCTCTGGGCCGTTCTGATGGAAACTGGCTTCGCCGCCCAGAGGAAAACCCACAACTAAGGGGCCAAGAAAAAGCCTCCATGGTCCCGCCCTTTCAGTGAGGATCCTAATTTATACCCCGAGTGTGGCCCCCATCAAAGTCTGCAGTGACAGCCGAGCGCGGTGGCTCACGCCTGTAATCCCGGCACTTTGGGAGACCATGGCGGGCGGATCACTTGAGGTCAGGAGTTCGAGACCAGCTTGGCCAACATGGTGAAGCCCCTTCTCTACTAAAAATACAAAAATTAGCCGGGTGTGGTGGTAGGCGCCTGTAGTCCCAGCTACTCGGAGGCTGAGGCAGAAAAATGGCGTGAACGCGGGAGGCGGAGCTTGCAGGGAGCCGAGATCGCGCCACTGCACTCCAGCCTGGGCGACAGAGTGAGACTCCATCTCACAAAAAAAAAAAAAAAAAAATGTAGAGTGACGTTCACTGAAATGATACTAGACCAGCGGGAGGGACCCAGAGCGCTGCGGTTTACAGAATGCGGTGACAGCGCCGCCTCGCGTCCTTTACTTCACCTGCCCCAGGCAGACGTGGTCACGTGTGTTGGCCTGGAGGCTGGAATACACTGGGGTCAAATGCAGAGTGGAGAAAGGAGGGAAGGATGGGAGGACGTGTTGAAGAGAGACAGTAAGAGCTGGCGCTATGATTCATACCTGTAAAACTAGCGTTTTCGGAGTCGAGGCAGGAGGATCGTGTGAGACCAGGAGTTTGAGGTTGCAGTGAGCCGTGATCACACCACTGCACTCCAGCCTGGACGACAGAGTGAGACCCTACTTTTATGTACTTTTCATATTTTCTGTAATTAAGCAAGTTTTGTGTCTGGAAGTGGTGGGTTTTTGATCTCACTGACTTCAAGAATGAAACTGCGGACCCTCGCGGTGAGTGTTACAGCTCTTAAAGTGGCACGTTTGGAGTTTGTTCCTTCTGATGTTCGGACGTGTCCTGAGTTTTTTCCTTCTGGTGGGTTCGTGGTCTCGCTGGCTCAGGAGTGAAGCTACAGAGCTTCGCGGTCAGTGTTATAGCTCTTAAGGCGGCACGTCTGGAGTTGTTCGTTTCTCCCGGTAGGCTTTTGGTCTTGCTGGCTTCAGGAGTGAAGCTGTAGACCTTCACAGTGAGTGTTACAGCTCATAAAAGCACTATGGACTCAAAGAGTGAGCAGTAGCAAGATTTATTACAGAGTGAAAGAACAAAGCTTTAGCAGTGTGGAAAAGGACCCAAGCAGGTTGCCACTGCTGGCTCGGGCAGCCTGCTTTTATTCTCTTATCTGGCCCCACCCACATCCTGCTGATTGGTAGAGCCGAGTGGTCTGTTTTGACAGGGTGCTGATTGGTGCGTTTGCAATCCCTGAGCTAGACACAAAGGTTCTCCAAGTCCCCATCAGATTAGTTAGATACACAGTATGGACACAAAGGTTCTCCAAGGCCCCACCAGAGCAGCTAGATAGAGAGTGTAGATTGGTGCATTCACAAACCTTGAGCTAAACACAGGGTGCTGATTGGTGTGTTTACAAACCTTGAGCTAGATACAGAGTGCCGATTGGTGTATTTACAATCCCTGAGCTAGACATAAAGGTTCTCCAAGGCCCCACCAGAGCAGCTAGATAGAGTGTGGATTGGTGCGCTCAGAAACCCTGAGCTAGGCACAAGGTGCTGATTGGTGTGTTTACAATCCCTGAGCTAGACATAAAGACTCTCCACGTCCCCACCAGACTCAGGAGCCCAGCTGGCTTCACTTAGTGGATCCCGCACCGGGGCTGCAGGTGGAGCTGCCTACCAGTCCCGCACGGTGCGCTTGCATTCCTCAGCCCTTGGGTGGTCGATGGGACTGGGCGCCCTGGAGCAGGGGGCGGCGCTCGTCGAGGAGGCTCGGGCCGCACAGGAGCCCTTGGAGTGGGTGGGAGGCTTAGGCATGGCGGGCTGCAGGTCCCCAGCCCTGCCCCGCGGGAAGGCAGCTAAGGCTCGGTGAGAAATCGAGCGCAGCGCTGGTGGGCTGGCACTGCTGGGGGACCCAGTACACCCTCCGCAGCTGCTGGCCCGGGTGCTAAGTCCCTCATTGCCAGGGGCCAGCAGGGCTGGCCGGCTGCTCCGAGTGCGGGGCCCGCCAAGCCCACGCCCACCCGGAACTCCAGCTGGCCGGCAAGCGCGGCACACAGCCCCGGTTCCCGCTCGCGCCTCTCCCTCCACACCTCCCCGCAAGCTGAAGGAGAGGGCTCCGGCCTTGGCCAGCCCAGAAAGGGGCTCCCACAGTGCAGCGGTGGGCTGAAGGGCTCCTCAAGTGCCGCCAAAGTAGGAGCCCAGGCAGAGGAGGCGCGGAGAGCAAGCGAGGGCTGTGAGGACTGCCAGCACGCTGTCACCTCTCGGTTTTACTTTATTTTAGGATAAAATATCTATTGTGAATTTTAAAAACATGTAAAATAAAATTTTAATTAAAAAGCCTAAATGTTCTTTTCCTACTTATCCTGAAGGAAATTCCTGTTGATGGCGCATTTAGGAACTTATTTATCCCCTGAAGACCTGAGCCCTGCACATATCAAAACTGTACATTCCTTGTGGAGCAGTCTTCTCTTTTGAAATGTAAACACTATTTCCCTAATCTTCAAGCCAGCCATTGTCACTCCTAGTGACACTTCCATTGGATAAGCTCCTTACTCTCACTGAAATTGGCCTCAGAGTTGCAGCCAAGCATTGGGAGCCATGGCAGAAGTCATTGTGGGGTTTGCACCTGGCTGATGTGGAAGGTAGTCCTGAAAGGTAGTGTGTGACTAAGTGGGCTCTGGAGGGCAGGGATGTGCCTGGTGAGAGGAGAACAAGACAGATAGGAAGGTTCCAAAAGAAAACTTCAGGGGTCCCTGTGCCCAACATCGGGATTTAGAAAATCTTCTCCCAGCCACTTTTGGCCTGCTTTCATTCCGCTTTCCTGTCTACCAGGCCATTGCAGGCAGTTCCTTCATTGAATAAATATTTATCAAATACCTACCACGTGCCAGGCATTGTGTTTAAGGAGCTGGGGCTGAGGTAAGAGGAACCAAACCTCCCTTGCGCTCAAGGTTGTCCCAGTCTTGCTCAGGCAGAGATCAGTCAGGAAATTTTAACACTAATGGTTGGCAGGACATGTACACATGCTTTGCAAACTCACAAGTAGACCATCTTCTCTGACCTAGGAGTCACAGAAAGTTCACAAAAGAGACAATGTTCAAGCTATGTTTTGAGGTGTAAGTAGGAGCCCAACAGGCACCTGGGACAAGAGAGCATTGCTCAGAATCCAGAACATGAATTTCTTTCCCTGGGCCAGGCCAAGAATCAGACTAAGCTGACTGAGGAGCCAGATGCTTCCTGGCAAGAAAGGGTGTCCCACATCTGACTATTCCAAAATCACAGCTACTCAATGTTGAGACTTAAGACAGACAGAAAAAGAGAAAGGCCTGATTCGAAAAGCAGAATTCTCCAGGGGTGGGGGGAGGTTAAACTGCAGTTTCTGATATAATATGTGTGGGCCAGGCCAGAGAATTGCATTTCCTTTTTTATTTATTTATTTATTTATTTATTTTGAGACGAAGTCTTGCTATTGTCCCCCAGGCTGGAGTGCGATGGCGCAATCTTGGCTCACTGCAACCTCCGCCTCCCGGGTTCAAGTGATTCTCCTGTCTCAGCCTCCCAGGTAGCTGGGATTACAGACGCCTGCCACCACGCTCGGCTAATTTTTTGTATTTTTAGTAGAGACAGGGTTTCACCATGTTGGCCAGGCTGGTCTCGAACTCCTGACCTCAGGTGATCCGCCCGCCTCAGCCTCCCAAAGTGCTGGGATTACAGGCGTGAGCCACTGCGCCCAGCTGAGAATTGCATTTCTAAGAAGTTTCCAGGTGATGCCAGTGCTGTTTGTCCCAGGACTACACTTTGAGAATCACTGCCCTAAAGCAACCTGGTTTGATCTCTAATAACAGAAGAGGACTGGGAGAGCACTATGAGGCAGAAGTGTAGGATAAATAAGACCATACTCTGCCCATCCTGGAGAATTCGCAAGCCCAAGGCTGCAGCATTTGAATTCCTTGGGAGTCCCGGGAATTGCAGACACCCAGGAAGAAACTGAATGTGGGTCAGAGGGTGATGCATGCTCTCTGCTTCACACAGCACCTGGGGTTCCTGCCACTACACAGTCTGGCCCCCACACCCTCAATCCTTCCCACCCCTCCTCGAAGCATTGACCTGCAGGCCTTACTCTACTGCCCTCAGCTGTTTGGGCCTGGGATATGACCCTAGGCACTCCTACCATACCTTCTGATCCAAATACAGGGTGACCTAGTATGACAACTATTAGCAGACTCATAGGGATAACAGAATGGGCTAAGAATGAGAATCTTTGGTTGCGCACGCCTGTAATCCCAGCCACTTGGGAGGCTGAGGTGGGAGGATCGCTGGAGCCCGGGAGGTGGAGGTTACAGTGAGCAGAGATCAGGCCACCAACATTCCAGCCTGGGCAAAAAAGTGAGACTCTGTTTCAAAAAAAATAAAATAAAATAAAAAGGCCGGGCATGGTGGCTCACACCTGTAATCCCAGCACTTTGGGAGACCAAGGCCAATGGATCACTTGAGGCCAGGAGTTCCAGACCACCTTGGCCAACATGGTGAAACCCTGTCTCTGCAAAAAATACAAAAAGTAGCCAGGCATGGTGGCATGCACCTGTAGTCCCAGCTACTCCAGAGGCTGAGGCAGAGAATCGCTTGAACCAGGGAGGCGGAGGTTGCAGTGAACCGAGAAGATTGCACCACTGCACTCCAGATGGGGCAACAGAGCGAGACTCTGTCTCCAAAAAAAAAAAAAAAAAATAAGAATCTTGAAAAGTTGGCAAGTGGCTTCAATTACATGTCCCCCAGAATTACAAGTGTTTTTTCTAAATATCACATCCTTGGGCCCACATGGACACCAGAGGGCACCCTGAGCTCACTGAAGCCACAACTGTCGCATTAGACCATTAGAATCCCTTGTAAAGGCCAGGCATGGTGGCTCACACCTGTAATCACAGCACTTTGGGAGACCGCGGAGGGTGGATCATCTGAGGTCAGGAGTTCGAGACCAGCCGGGCCAACATGGTGAAACCCCATCTCTACTAAAAATTAGCTGGGTGTGGTAGCATGCACCAGTAATCTCAGCTACTGGGGAGGCTGAAGCAGGAGAATCACTTGAACATGGAAGGCAGAGATTGCAGTGAGCCAAGATTGCATCCTTGCACTCCAGCCTGGGCAACAACAGCAAAACTCCATCAGAAAAAAAAAAAAAAAAAGAATCCTTTGTAAAGACTGCGGTTTGGCTGGGAGCAGTGGCTCATGCCTGTAATGCCAGAAATTTGAAAGGCTGAGGGTGGGCCACGGTGGATCGCTTGAGGTCAGGAGTTCAAGACCAGCCTAGTCAACATGGTGCAACCCCATCTCTACTAGAAATACAAAAATTAGCTGGGCATGGTGGCATGCAACTGTAGTCCCTGCTACTCAGGAGGCAAGAGAATTGCTCGAGCTCTTAAGGCAGAGGTTGCAGTGAGCCAAGATTGCATCACTGCACTCCAGCCTGGCCAACACAGCAAGACTCCATCTCAAAAAAAAAAAAAAAAAGGAGTGATATAATTTTTAGACAATTTTTTTTTTTTTTTTGAGATGGAGTCTCGCTCTGTCACCCAGGCTGGAGTGCAGTGGCACGATCTTGGCTCACTGCAAGCTCTGCCTCCCGGGTTCACGCCATTCTCCTGCCTCAGCCTCCTGAGTAGCTGGGACTATAGGTGCCCGCCACCACACCCGGCTAATTTTTTGTATTTTTAGTAGAGACAGGGTTTCACCGTGTTAGCCAGGATGGTCTCCATCTCCTGACCTCGTGATCCGCTTGCCTCTGCCTCACAAAGTGCTGGGATTACAGGCGTGAGCCACCGCGCCTGGCCCCAGCTACAATTTTTGTTTTCTCTTAATGAAGGTAAGAGAATTCTATCAGGCTGAGTTTTTTTCTTAAATTTTCACTATGAGTTTTTTGGGTTTTTTTCCTCCTTGGAATTACCTTTTGTGTTTTCACTTGGTTAAAAATTCAAAAGGTTCAAAAGGCAAAAAGTCTCTGTCTTGGCCGGGTGCAGTGGCTCAAGCCTGTAATCCCAGCACTTTGGGAGGCCGAAGCAGGTGGATTACAAGGTCAAGAGTTCGAGACCAGCCTGGCCAACATGATGAAACCCCCGTCTCTACTAAAAATACAAAAATTAGTCGGGTGTGGTGGTGGGCATCTGTAATCCCAGCTACTTGGGAGGCTGAGGCAGGAGAATCACTTGAACCCGGGAGGCAGAGGTTGCAGTGAGCCGAGATCTTGCCATTGCACTCCAGCCTGGGCGACAAGAGCAAGACTCCGTCTCGAAAAATAAATAAATTAATTAATTAATTAAAGAAAGAAAGAAAACAAACTTAAGACATTTGTTCGGGCTTGGTGGCCCACGCCTGTAATTCCAGCACTTTGGGAGGCCGAGGCGGGCGGATCACCTGAGGTAAGGAGTTCGAGACTAGCCTGGAAAACATGGCAAAACCCTGTCTCTACTAAAAATACAAAACATTAGTGGGCGTGGTGGCAGAAGGCTGTAATCCAGCTACTTGGGAGGCTGAGGCAGGAGAATCACTTGAACCCGGGAGGCGGAGGTTGCAGTGAGCTGAGATTGCACCATTGCACTCCAGCCTGGGTGACAGTCAGATTCTGTCCCAAAAAAACCAAACAAACTTAGACGTTTTATGCATATGCAAGCAAATATAAGTGTGTGTGTATATACATATAATTTCCCTCTTTCCACATAAATTTTAGCAAACTACATATGCTTTCCTTCATCTTGTTTTTTTTTTTCTTTCTGAGACAAGGTTTCACTCTGTCACCCAGGCTGGGGTATACTAGTATGACTACCACTCACTGAAGGCTTGAACTCTTGGGCTCCCCACTAGCTGGGACCACAGGTGTGAGCCACAACACCTGGCTTTTTTTTGAGACAGAGTTTCACTCTTGCCGCCCAGGCTAGAGTGCAATGGTGCGATCTTGGCTTACTGCAACCTCTGCCTTCTGGGTTCAAGTGATTCTCCTGCCTCAGCCTCTGGAGTAGCTGGGAAATCCCATCTGTACTAAAAATACAAAAATTAGCCAGGCGTGGTGGTGCACACACCTGTAGTTCCAGCTACTCAGGGGGCTGAGGCAGAAGAAATGCTTGTACCTGGGAGGTGGAGGTTGCTGTGACCTGAGATCTCACCACTGCACTGCAGCCTAAGACAGTGAGACTGTCTCAAAATTTAAAAAAAAAAATTTTTTTTTTTTAAAGAAAGAATGAACTACTGATAGGTGCAACAACATGGATGGATTACATAGATATTATGCCAAATACAAAAAGCCAGACACAAAAGAGGCCATACCTATGCATGCATTTATAGGAAGTTTTAAAACAGGCAGCCCAGCACAGTGGCTCACACCTGTAATCCCAGCACTTTGGGAGGCCGAGGCGGGTGGATCACCTGAGGTCAGGAGTTTGAGACCAGCCTGGTGAACATAGCGAAACCCCATCTCTACTGGAAGTACAAAATTAGCCAGTCATGATGGCTCACACCTGTACTCCCAGCTACTCAGGAGGCTGAGGCAGGAGAATCTCTTGAACCCAGGAGGCAGAGGTTGCAGTGAGCCGAGATCGCGCCATTGCACTCCAGCCTGGGTGGCAGAATGAGACTCCATCTCAAAAAAAAAAAAAAATTAGGAAAAACTGCTCTATAGTGATAGTCATCAGATCCATGGCTACTCAGGGGTAGGGCAGAATCAAAGAGGGCAAAGAGAACTTTTTATATCTTGACAGGGGTGTGGGTGACATGTACTTGTCAAAATTCATTGATGGATTTGCTAAAGATCTGATCATTTCACTTTTTGTAAATGGTGAAATTTTAAAATAAAATTTTAATAAATTTAATAAATTTTAAAATAAAAATATTTTTGCTGGGCACGGTGTCTCACGCCTGTAATCCCAGCATTTTGGGAGGCCAAAGTGGGTGGATCACTTGAGGTCAGGAATTTGAGACCAGCCTGGCGAAACCCTGTCTCTGCAAGCAAATACAAAAATCATCCAGGTGTGTGGTGTGTACCTGTAGTCCCAGCTACTCAGGAGGCTGAGAGAGGAAAATCGCTTGACCCTGGGAGGTGGAAGTTGCAGTGAGCTGAGATCACACCACTGCACTCCAGCCTGAGCAATAGAGGGAGACTCTGTCTCAAAAAAATAAAATAGGGTTGGGGACAAAGGGAGGGAGAGCATTAGGACAAATACCCAATGCAGGCGGGGCTTAAAACCTGGATGACAGGTTGATAGGTGCAGAAATCACCATGGCACATGTATACTTATGTAACAAACCTGCACATTCTGCACATGTATCCTGGAACTTAAAGTAAAAAAAGTAATAATAATAATTTTAAAAATAAATAAATTAATTAAACAAAAATATTTTAATGTTAATAATAAAAAGTAGCCGGGGGCTGTGGCTCATGCCTGTAATCCCAGCACTTTGGGAGGCCGAGGTGGGCGGATCACCTGAGGTCAGGAGTTTGAGACTAGCCTGGCCCACATGGAGAAACCCTGTCTCTACCAAAAATACAAAATTAGCCGAGGGTGGTGGCAGGGGTTTGTGATCCCAGCTACTCAGGAGGCTGAGGCAGAAAAATCACTTGAACCCAGGAGGCAGAGGTTGCGGTGAGCTGAGATTGTGCCATTGCACTCCAGCCTGGGCAACAAGAACAAAACTCCGTCTCAAAAATAATAATGATAATAAATAAGATAATTGGGCCAGGTGTGGTGGCTCACACCTGTAATCTCAGCATTTTAGGAGGCCGAGGTGGAAGGATCACCTGAGGTCAGGAGTTCAAGACCAGCCTGGCCAACATGGTGCAACCTCATCTCTATTAAAAATACAAAAAATTGGCTGAGTGTGGTGACTCACGCTTGTAATTCCTGTACTTTGGGAGGCCAAGGCAGGTGGACCAGTGGACCACGAGGTCAGGAGATGGAGACTATCCTGGCTAACACAGTAAAACCCCATCTCTACTAAAAATACAAGAAATTAGCTGGGCGTAGTGGCACATGCCTGTAGTCCCAGCTACCTGGGAGGCTGAGGCAGGAGAATCACTTGAACCCGAGAGGTGGAGATTGCAGTGAGCCAGATCACACCATTGCACTCCAGCCTGGGCGACAGAGCGAGACTCCATCTCAAAAAAAAAATACAAAAAATTAGCAAGGCACAACGGGCACGGTGGCTCAAGCCTGTAATCCCAGCACTTTGGGAGGCTGAGGCAGGCGGATCACGAGGTCAGGAGATCGAGACCATCCTGGCTAACATGGTGAAACCCCATCTCTACTAAAAATACAAAAAAATTAGCCAGGCGTGGTGGCAGGCACCCGTAATCCCAGCTACTCGGGAGGCTGAGGCAGGAGAATGGCATGAACCCGGGAAGCAGAGCTTGCAGTGAGCTGAGATCACACCACTGAACTCTAGCCTGGGCAACAGAGCAAGACTCCGTCTCAAAAAAAAAAAAAAGAGTACTGAAGTTCCAAAGGAGAGGATAAACAGGCTGCACAAACAACTTTCGCAGAGTAGATACGTAATCAGTGACTTGAAACACCTGCTGGGCACTCAAACTAGGCCAAAGGAAAGAGAAACAGAATGAGTATATGCTATAAGAACTGGAGATAAGTAAGATTCCTTACTCATATCCTTATCTCCAGTTCTTGGCACATAATGGGCACTCAGTTTATTGTTAGGTGAATAGGCTGCTGCGGAGAAAGGTAAATAAATGATGGAAAAAATTACAAGGGGAATTAACTAATCTGTACACTAAACCCCCGTGACAGGCAATTTAGCTCTATAACAAACCTGCTCATATACCCCTGAACTTAATATAAAAGTTTTTAGGCCAGGTGCGGGGCTCACGCCTGTAATCCCAGCACTCTGGGAGGCTGAGGTGGGCAGATCACCTGAGGTCAGAAGTTTGAGACCAGCCTGGCCAACATGGTGAAATCCCCATCTCTACTAAAAATACAAAAAATTAGCCAGGCATGGTGGTGCATGCCTGTAGTCCCAGCTACTCCTGAGGCTGAGGCAGGAGAAACACTTGAACCCGGGAGGTGGAGGTTGCAGTGAGCTGAGATCTCACTCCAGCCTGGGTGACAGAGTGAGACTCCGTCTCAAAATAAATAAATAAAATCGGTGAGAAGCTCACTTCCTAAACCACAAACCCTCCTCAAATAATCAGAATTGTCTACTCTCATCTACCCTGCACCCCGTACTCTCCCTCTCTCCACAGTGGCTGAAAGAATGATGGGGAAGAGAGGAAGAAGAAATTGCCTTAGGCCTTCTCCCTCTTCTAGGGTCTCTGTCTTTCCACTATTTTCTTTTAAAAACTTTTTGCTTTTTTTTTTTTTTTTTTTTTTTGAGACACAGTCTCACTCTGTCACCCAGCCTGGAGTGCAGTGGCATGATCTCGACTCACTGCAACCTTCCCCTCCCAGGTTCAAGCCATTCCCTTTCCTCAGCCTCCCGAGTAGCTGGGACTACGGGTGCGTGCCACCATGCCCGGCTAATTTTCGTATTTTTAGTAGAGATGGAGTTTCACCATGTTGGCCAGGCTTGTCTTAAACTACTGACCTCAAGTGATCCACCCACCTCAGCCTCCCAAAGTGCTGGGATTACAGGCGTGAGCCACCATGCCCGGCCAAAAACCTTTTACATGAGCAGGTTTGTTATAGAAGTAAATTGCCTGTCATGGGGATTTGGTGTACAGATTAGTTAATCCCCCATGTAATTCTTTCCACCATTTATTTACCTTTCTCCACAGCAGCCTATTCCCTTTGAGGGAAGAGAGAGACCCTTTCGTATTGTTTTATATTGCTTTATACTCAGTACCTGTTTTAAGAAAAAACAAGGAAGTAAAACCAAAGACAGGCAGCCTGGCGCCAGGCCCGAAACCAGGCCTGGGCCTGCCTGGCCTAAACCCAGTAGTTAAAAATCAACCCATGACTTAGAACGCGATGTTATTCATAGATTCCAGACATTGTATAGAAGAACATTGTGACACTCCCTGCCCTGTTCTGTTTCTCTCTGACCACCAGTGCATGCAGCCCCTGTCACGTACCGCCTGCGTACTCAAATCAATCACGACACTTTCATGTGAAATCTTTAGTGTTGTGAGACCTTAAAAGGGACAGAAATTGTGCATTCAGGGAGTTTGGATTTTAAGGCAGTAGCTTGCCGATGCTCGCAGCTGAATAAAGCCCTTCCTTCTACAACTCGGTGTCTGAAAGGTTTTGTCTGGGGCTCGTCCTGCTACATTTCTTGGTTCCCTGAACAGGAAGCGAGGTAACTGACGGACGGCCAAGGCAGCCCCTTGGGTGGCTTAGGCCTGCCCTGTGGAGCATCCCTGCGGTGGACTCTGGCCAGCCTGAGTGACGCGATCCAAAGAGCGCTCCCGGGTAGGAAATTCCCCGGGTGGAACGCCTCGCCAGAGCAGCACGTAGCAGGCCCCCGAGGAGGATTAACACACTGGCTGAACACTGGGAAGGAACTGGCACTTGGAGTCCGGACATCTGAAACTTGGTAAGACTAGTCTTTGGAACTTGCCCCACTCCATCTGAGTGGAAGCATGGCCTGATCACCCATGGTGTGCCTGTACTGGCACTTTTATTCTGGTTTTGACTTGACTTAGATTGTGTGATACTTTGGTTTTGGTTTTGGTTTTGACCTGGCTTGGGTTTTTGGATACTCTGATTTTGGTTTGGTGTAAACTGCAAAAGTGTGTGTGCCCTTTTTACCTGTTTTTTTGTTTTGTAGTGCACGTGTGGTGTGAGCGTGGTGTTTTGTCTCGAAGAAGCATGGGTCAGGCACAAATAAGCCCACCCCACTAGGAACTATGTTAAAAAAAATTTTTTTTCAAGAAAGAATTTAAGGGAGATTACGATGTTACTGTGACACCAGGAAAACTTAGAACTTGTGAAATAGACTGGCCAGCATTAGAGGTGGGTTGGCCATCAGAAGGAAGCCTGGACAGGTCCCTTGTTTCAAAGGTATGACACAAAGTAACCTGTAAGCCAAGGCATCCAGACCAGTTTCTGTACATAGACAGTTACAGCTGGTTTTAGACCCCCTTCCCCCTACAGTAGTTAAGAGAACAGTAGCATAAGCATCTGGCAGAGGCAAGGAAAGACCAGCAGAGAGAAAAAAAGGCCATCTATACCAATTCTAAGTTAATTTAGACTAAACAAGGTCTTATTAATAGCAAAGGATAATTGAAATCCCAAACTTACAAGGTTTTCAACAAAAGTGAAGTTTGCTAAAAATTAACAGTATAACATGTATTATGGTAACTTCTAATCTTGTGGCCTTAGACAGTCTAGTCCAAAGACAAAAAAAAAGTTCACTTTAAAAAAAAAAAGCGGGGGAGGCAGAATTTATGTAAAAAGAGTGTTATATGGTAAATTCTTGTCCTGAAATAAATTAACTGGTTGTTTAAAGAAAAAAAAATGTTTGTAATAAGTCAGAAAGTTGAGACATGTTGAAGAATTGTCGGCGAAAGTCGTGAAAGAAAAAATGTTATAAAAAAATTTATGCAAAAAATATTGTGTAATTTAAAAGTAATAAGGCCTCCTGAGTACTATTTAAAAAAAAAACAGTTTATGTGCAAGGTGTATAAGAAAAGTAAAATATACCTTTGGTAAAAAGATTATAAGGAGGCATAAGAATGTGGATTTTTACCTACATTAAAAGGTTAAAAAAATTATTGTTTTGAAAGTGTAAGCAAATTTTAAAATGTTAATTGTAAAGAAAATTCTGTGTGTAAACATATTAGCTAAAGTTAAAAAGGTATCATCCAGTTTTTCTGTGAACTGGACATTAAAGTAAAAATGTGACAGGTTTTTCTTAAAGCATCAACCTGCTCTTTAACAAAAATTATAAAAGGTTAAAAAGAGTCTATAAAACCTTACCTTATGGTCAAACATGAAAAATTGGATAAATATGTCTACAAAGTTTTATTAAAATTAAGTTTAACATTAATAACACACTAATATAAAGGTAAAATTTAGCTTACCTGGTATAAAAATCATACAAGAAGCATTATTAAATATAAAATGGTGTTTAGCTTTCTTTGGTCTAAAAACTAATAAAAATAGATGCTAAAGGAAACATTCATTTTACTAGAGGATCATAGAAGTTAAAGACTTAAAACAAACTTTGGCAGTTAAGACAGCATACCAAGATGCAAATGCCTGGTTGGAATGGATCAAATATTCCATCTGCACGTTAAACAAAATCAATTGTTATGCTTGTGCACATGGCAGGCCAGAGGCCCTGATTGTCCCTCTTCCACTAAGGTGGTCCTCCAGTCGACCAGGTGTGGGCTGCATGGTAGCTCTTTTCCAGGATTCTACAGCCTGGAGTAATAAGTCATGCCAAGCTCTCTCTGCTATATCCCGAAGTCTCTGCGGGTCAGCCCCCGAGGGCCATCCAGCTTCCATCTCCCAACACTAAGTTCACTTCTTGTCTCTCACGGCAGGGAGGAGATTTAGCATTCCTTGGAGACCTGAAGGGATGCAGTGAGCTTAAGAGTTTCCAAGAGCTTATCAATCAGTCAGCCCTTGTTCATCCCCGAGAGGATGTGTGGTGGTATCGGGGTGGACCTTTACTGGGCACTCTGCTGAATAACTAGAGTGGCACTTGTGCTTTAGTCCATTTGGCTATCCCTTTCACCCTGGCATTTCATCAACCAGAGGAAAAAAAAAGTAAGACATCATAAAACGAGAGAAGCCCCTTATAGGTCTTTCAATTCTCACATCTACTTAAATGCAATTGGAGCCCCACAAGGAATACCAGATCAATTTAAAGCTTGAAATCAAATAGTTACAGGATTTAAGTCAATATTTTAGTAGATGACAGTCAACAAAAATGTAGATTAGATAAACTACATCTATTACAACCAACAGCAAAGAGCTTTTCATTAGTTAAAAAGAAAAACTCATGTCGGCCCCAGCCCTGAGGCTACCTGACCTGACAAAACTCTTTACACTCTGTGTGTCAGAAAGAGAAAAAATGACAGTTGGAGTTTTAACCCAGACTGTAGGGCCCTGGTCAAGGCCAGGGGCCTATCTCTCAAAACAACTAGATGGGGTTTCCAAAGGCTGGCCCCCATGTCCAAGGGCCCTGGCAGCAACTGCCCTGTTAGCACAAGAAGCAGATGAGCTAACTCTTAGGCAAAACCTAAACAGAAAGTCTCCCCATGCTGTGGTGACTTTAATAAATACCAAAGGACATCATTAGCTAATAAATGCTAGACTAACTAGATACCAAACCTTGCTCTGTGAAAATCCCCACATAACCATTGAAGTTTCCAACACCCTAACCCAGCCACCTTACTCCTGGTAACAGAGAGCCCAGTTAAACATAACTGTTTAGAGGTGCTGGACTCAGTTTATTCTAGTAGGCCTAACCTCCGAGACCTCCCTTAAACATCAGTAGACTGGGAGCTGTACGTGGATGGGGGCGGCTTTGCCAACCCCTGCAAAGTGACACTCTGAAGAAGGAGACAAGCCCTGCTCCAGTCACACCCAGAAGCTGACTGGTCCACGCACAGGCGAAGCATGAGGAAACTCATTGCGGGACTCATTTTCCTTAAAATTTGGACTTGTACAGTAAGGACTTCAACTGACCTTCCTCAGATTGAGAACTGTTTCCAGTATATACATCAAGTCACTGAGGTAGGACAAAAATTGCTACAGTCCTATTATTTTATGGTTATTATAAGTGTACCAGGACTCTAAAAGAAACTTGTTTGTATAATGCTATCCAAGGTATGTAGCCCAGGGAATAACCAACCTGATGTGTGTTATGACCCATTTTAAGCCTCCCGTGATCACAGTTTTTAAAATAAAATTAAGGACTGGTCCTTTTCTAGGTGACACAAGTAAGGTAATAGCTAGAACGGAAAAAAGAGGGGCCCCCAAAAATGTAACCTTAAAATTTGGTGCTTGTGCCGCTATTGATAGTAAGCAGCATGGAATAGGATGCGGTTCTCTAAATTGGAAAAAAAAAGTGACACAGTAAAAAAAAAATAAGTGTATCTGTCAAGAATTGTATTTATGTGAGATGTGTCAATACTGGTCTTGTGTCATTTGGGCTACTTAAAAAGAAGATAAAAAAGATCCTGTTTGGCGGCTTAGTTGTCTTGGGCAAAAACTGTATAATGGTACCACAAAAAGTTACATGGTGGAGTTCCAATTACACAGAAAGAAATCCATTCAGTAAATTTCCAAAGTTGCAGACTGTTTGGGCCCACCCAGAACTCCACCGGGACTGGACAGCCCCCACCGGGTTATACGCAGAGCTTATGCTAAGCTCCCTGATCAGTGGACAGGTAGCTGTGTAATTGGCACCATTAAGCCATCTTTCTTCTTACTGCCCATAAAAACAGGTAAACTTCTGGGCTTCCCAGTCTATGCTTCCTGCGAAAAACGAAGCATAGCCATAGGTAATTGGAAAGATGATAAATGACCTCCTAAAAAAATTATATAATACTATAGGCCTGCCACTTAGACACAAGATGGCTCATGAGGATATCGAACCCCCATCTACATGCTCAACCGAATCATATGGTTGCAAGCTGTTTAGAAATTATTACTAATAAAACCGTCAAACCTTGACTGTTCTTGCCCGGCAAGAGACTCTGATGAGAAATGCTATCTATCAAAATAGACTAGCTCTTGACTACTTGCTATATATATATATATATATGTATACACACACCCCATCTCTACTAAAAATACAAAAAATTAGTGGGGTATGGTGGCAGGCACCTGTAATCCCAGCTACTAGGGAGGCTGAGTCAGGAGAATCGCTTGAACCTGGGAGGCGGAGGTTGTAGTGAGCCGAGATCGCGCCATTGCACTCCAGCCTGTGCAACAAGAGTGAAACTCCATATCAAAAAATATAAATAAATAAATAAATAATAAATTAAATAAATAAAATGGGCAGGAAGAGGTCTGAACATAAAAACACTCGACTGCACAGCGACCAAGGAGAGACAACTTAAACCTCAAATTCTCTCTCTTTTTTTGAGACGGAGTCTCACTCTGTCGCCCAGGCTGGAGTGCAGTGGCGCTAGCTATATCGGCTCACTGCAACCTCCGCCTCCCGGATTCAAGCGATTCTCCTTCCTCAGTCTCCCGAGAAGCTGGGTTTACAAGTGCGCGCCAGGGTTTCGCTATGTTGGCCAGGCTGGTCTCCAACTCCTGACCTCAGGTGATCCGCCCGCTTCGGCCCCCAACAAAGTGCTGGGATTATGCTGGGATTACAGGCGTGAGCCACCGCGCCGGGTCTCAAACCCCAAATTATTTTTTTGGGGGGACGGAGTCTTGCTCTGTCGCCCAGGCTGGAGTGCAGTGGCGCGATCTCTGCTCACTGCAAGCTCTGCCTCCAGCGTTCACGCCATTCTCCTGCCTCAGCCTCCCGAGTAGCTGGGACTACAGGTGCCCGCCACCACACCCGGCTAATTTTTTTGTATTTTTTTAGTAGAGACGGGGTTTCATAGTGTTAGCCAGGATGGTCTCGATCTCCTGACCTTGTGATCCGCCCGCCTCGGCCCCCCAAAGTGCTGGGATTACAGGCGTGAGCCACCGCACCCGGCCTCAAACCCCAAATTCCTAAGTATGGATGAGCCAAATCACCCCTCCCACTGCTGAGGAGAGACGCTTGTCTCGGACTGGACTTAACCCAATGGGGTTCAAGAAAAAGGGAAAGTCCCGCCTCCATAGCAGCTCCAGTCCAATGGGAGCCTCCCGGTACGCTCAGCTGGAAGATGGGCGGGACTACGCTGGCCTGGAGCATGGCACGTGATTCCGCCGGCCTGGTTGCCGGGAATCTGGACCTGAGCGAGAAGCACGATCCCCGGCCGCCCCCGCTCTTGCATCCCCCTGGTCCTACTGCTGTGCTTGCTGGCGACGGTTCGTTCCGGAAGTCAGGCCAGTGACTGCGGGGCTCTGCTCCGCCCTCCATACCTGTTAAGTGTCCCCCTCCCCCACAACGCCTGATCCCCACAGCCTGGCAGCGAGAGTCCAGCCCTCCGGGGAGGTTGAGGCCCGGTGCCACCACCACCACTGGAGGCCTGACGATGCCTGACGATGCCTCACGCGGGTGCTGAGTAGTAGGGGGGCTTAATTATTTAGCACCTCTCCCCTTCCCCTGAGCCATAACCTTCCCCAAACTGTGGCCTTTATGAGGCCTCTTGGGAGTGCTTTTTGGAGCCGGGGGAGGTCTGGGGCGATGGAGGTTGCAAGATAAGGTCAGGCTTAGAGGGTAGGTAGGGCTTCCTCTGAAACTGGTTGTATCTGGTAAGTAATTGTCCCATGTCTCCCACTTGAAGCTTAAACTTGGCCGTAGGAGGTCCTTATGCCTGTAATCCCAGGACTTTGGGAGGCCGAGCTGGGCGGAGGATTGCTTGAACACAGGAGTTTGAGACCAGCCCGGGGAACATGAGGAAAACCTGTCAATACAGAAAATACAAAAACATTAGCCAGGCGTGGTGGTGCACGCCTGTAGTCCCAGTTACTCTGGAGGCTGAGGTGGGAGGATCGCTTGAGCCTGGGAGGCAGAGGTTGGGGTGGGCCTCATGATTGTGCCACTGCACTTCAACGTGGGTGACAGAGTGAGACCGTCTCGAAAAAAAAGAGAAAAGGAGCCAATGATAGCAGCTATGTTTGTTAAAAAATATATATATATACATATATACACATATATATACGTATATGTGTGTGTGTGTATATATATATTTGGAGACGGAGAATCACTCAGTCGCCCAGGCTGGAGTGCAGTGGTGCAATCTCGGCTCACTACAACCTCCGCCTCCTGGGTTCTAGGGATTCTCCTGTCTCAGCCTCCCGAGTAGCTGGGATTACAGGCGTGCACCACCAGGCCCAGCTAATTTTTGTATTTTTTTAGTAGAGATGGGGTTTCGCCTCATCGTGGTTTTTAACCCAGCCTTAAAAATATATTTAAACATAACTACCAGGTGTGTTTTTTGGCATGACCTCTAATCCTCTGAGATTGGTGTAATTTTCTCATATATGAAGAATGTGGCTCATATTCTTGTCCACAAGAGATGGCCCCAAGAGGGATGCACAGCCATAGACAAGTGGTAGGGTGAGTGTCACCTCTGAGTGAAAGTCAGAGCCGTCTCTGAAATAAAGGGGTACAGCAGCGTGGTAGATGGTTTGAGGCCAGGGTAAGGGTTTAATGAAAGGGTTTAAGTGGTTTAAGTGGTGTTTGGAGAAGGGAAGGATGGGTCTTCCCTTCAGGGGACCATCTCAGGAAGGCACTGGGAGGTGGAACTGCAGGAGTATGGAGGTGCTCCAACCTTCCTGTTCCAAGTGGGTCAGGTGAAGGCAGGGTGTGGTGGGAGATGAGGGTGGAGACGGCAGCCTTCAAGGGGCCTTGTTTAGCTTGCTAAGGAGCTTGGAAACCATCCCGAGGACAAAAGGGGAATCCTTAGAGGAAGAGCAGAGAGGTATGCGGTCTGATATGTATTTCTGGATAGATCACTCTGATTATATCAAGGAGGACAGATTTTATATGCTTAAGACTGGAGGGAGAGAGACCAGTTAGAAAGACTCTGGCTATAATCCAAGCAAGCCATACTATGGGCTGGTTTGGTGGAGGTAGAGGAATGTCCAGATTGGAGAAACAGGAAGTTAAAAATGGGCAGGGCTTGCTGACTGTTTGAAACTAGGGGGTGTGAAGGGAGGCAGCACTCTAGGATAAACACCAGACTTGCAGATTGTTTGGGAATATCCAATTCTGCTGTAGAAGACAGGAAAACAATAAACTCAAAAGAAGTGTTACACACAGATAACTAAATTAGTCATCTGTAGATAGTACAACGTATTCGTGTGTACAGAGATCAAAAGGGACAGAAAGACCAAGGAGGCACTAAATATTCACGGTACCCTAAATACATGAGACATGAGGCACTCAGGATGCAGGAGGTTTCAATTTGACAGGATGGATGCACACTGCATGACCCACAGTTCAGCTGGTGTGATCGATCATTCCACCCAACTTGCCCCCTCTCCCGTGTGTTGACCCACCCCAGCACCTGCCTCCTGCTTCTCAGAATGTGTTTTACATTTATTTAATAAACGATGTTATTTGAGCATTTACATTTGGTCTGTGAGCCTTTTTGTTCCATGACCTCTCAGCTCACTTCATGCTATTGTGCCAGGAGGCTACATGACATCCGGTAGTTGCCCACACCTCAACCCAGTTCTGGCTTGAGTAAGCAGGCAGGTGAGAGGATGATGCCACTCACCAGGAATATAGGATGAGAGGCAGGTTGTTCCATGGCCAGGGCCAAGAGGAAATACTCAGTTTTAGATGTGTCAGATTTAAGGCCATATGGAACCTTAGGTCCAGATGACCAACAGGTAGGTAGTTGGATATACCAATGTGAAGAACAGGGATGAAGAGATTTGGGAGTCATTACTATTTAAAACAATGAGCCTAGATGAGGCCCTGCAGGGAAACGAGAGATTCCCTTCCCATTGTTCAGTCTGCATTCCCCTTACCCACTCCTTTGGTGCCCTCAAAAATAGTCACACAGCCTCACCATACAGGCACCTTGTGCAGTGTCTCCCAGGTAAGACTCCTGTTGGAAAATAACCTTTTCCCATCATTCTCTTTTCCTCAGCAACCCACTCTCTGTGCTATGACTTCATTACTCTTTCCCAGCCCAGCCCTGGGCAAGCCCCTTACGAAGTCTCAGGCTACCTGGATGACCACCCTTTCTTATGATGCTGCAAGGAGGGCAGGTGGGCAGAGCCCCGTGCATCCTGGGCTCAGGCCAGGGACCCAAGAGCTTGGGAGAAGCTGGTTCTCAGACTGAAGGCCAGAGCCCAGCACCTTGTCACCATCCTGGGGAGCATCATGGCACACGACAACCAGAGCCAAGGTAATTGGGCTTGGGGGCTCAGGAGGAGGCAGAAAAGAGAGAAGAGCTCAATATGGGCCTGAAGATGTGCAGCTGCATTCGTTATTGTTCAGCTAAGATGCATTGAGCTCTGCGTGGGGCACTGTGCTAGGTAGGCACTCAGATACCACCCCACTTCACTGAGATCCTGATGCTATCTCCTCCTGCCTGGGGGAGTTCATCCCTGACTCAAACCTTGTTTTATGTACCCAGTGGTGCCAAAAGGACTGGGTCTTAGGTATTAGCAAGAGTAGGACAGAAGTATAAGACCCTCTGGCCGGGCGCAGTGGCTCACGCCTGTAATCCCAGCAGTTTGGGAGGCCGAGGCGGGTGGATCACAAGGTCAGGAGATCGAGACCATCCTAGCTAACACAGTGAAACCCTGTCTCTACTAAAAATACAAAAAAAATTAGCCGGGTGCGCTGGCAGGCACCTGTAGTCCCAGCTACTCGGGAGGCTGAGGCAGGAGAATGGCATGAACCCGGGAGGCGGAGCTTGCAGTGAGCCGAGATCGTGCCACTGCACTCCAGCCTGGGTGACAGAGCAAGACTCCGTCTCAATAAAAAAAAAAAAAAAAAAAAGAAGTATAAGACCCTCACCCTTTCCCTCAGTCAAGGACTAGGTCTCTAAGAAATAAGCCATTGTCCTTAAGCTCCCAAGCCTTCCCTTCAGGTGAAAAAAGTCTGTTTTTTTTTTGCTCTTGTTGCCCAGGCTGGAGTGCAATGGCACGATCTCAGCCCACTGCAAACTCCGCCTCCCAGGTTCAAGTGATTCCCCTGCCTCAGCCTCCTGAGTAGCTGGGATTACAGGCGCCTGCCACCACGCCTGGCTAATTTTTATATTTTTAGTAGAGATGGGGTTTCACCATGTTGGCCAGGCTGGTCTCAAACTCCTGACCTCGTGATCCACCTGCCTGGGCCTCCCAAAGTGCTAGGATTACAGGCGTGAGCCACCGCACCCGGCCAGGTGAAAAAAACTTATCCAACTTTCTCAAATCCAGGAAATGGGAAAAACTGGCCTTTTTCTGACATTCACCTCTCGCCACCACCAGTAGTTAATAAGAAACCTGGTGACCTGAGCAAAATATATTTCTAACCAATATCATTTTTTTTCATCTAGCAAACATTTAAGCCTAGTAAGTGCTGTTCATTTTGCTGTTACCAATAATACACCTTACAATAGCAGCTACTAGTTCTTGAATTCTTCTTGGTAGGTCCTACATTAACACTGGCAAGGATTATCTCATGTTATCTTTACTTGTGTGGTAGAGACTATAATTGTGTCCAGTTGCCAAATGAGGAAAGCAAGGCTTGGAGAGGTTCCATTACATTTGCCGTGGGCATATAGCCAGTAGCTGATGTGTAGATCAGGGATTTAAACACAATGCTGTCTGTGCTGGGCCTTCAGGAGGGTGGGTGAGTATATGTGGCTGAACAGTGCATGCTGGGTACATGGGAGGGAGCCACATGCTGCAGGGGAGGGAGAGCGGGTGCAGTGTGACTTTGGTGGGGATGTGGTTGACAGAGAAGATATGTCTTGGAGAATGAGTGAGGGTTTATCAGTCAGAGCAAGGGAATTTCATGCATTTTGGGAGGAGGTAGGAGCGGAGGTGGAGAGAGCCACTGTTTTGACCTCTTGTAACTTTGGAGTTCTGGGGTTTTGGCTTTTCAGAGTCACACACCCTCCAGACCACGGTTGTCTGTGAGTTGTTGGGGAACCGGAGCAGCTGGGGACACTGGCACTACAACTGTGATGGCCAGGACTCCCTTCTTAGCACACTTGAGTCTTTCAACTCCAGCAAAAGCCAGCCAGAACCAAGCAGAGCTGCAGAAGGAGAGAAGGGAAGGAAACAATCCTTCCTGACCTAGAGCTGCGTCTACCCTCTCCGGAAATACCTGAAAGCTGGGGTGGGACCACGGCCCACCGTAGGTGTGATAGGTGCGGACTGGTTCATGTGGGGAAGGTGGAGGAGCTGAGGGCACTGTGGGAGGGATGGAGTGCAGGCCCCTCAGCCAGCCTTCAAAACTCCATTTCAATACCCATGTCCTAAATGAACACAGCTCTGTTGCTGACCGTCCTAGCCACTCTGCTTTCCTTCCCTCTCCCGTGCTTGGTCAGCCCTTTTCCCACTTGGTGTTCAAGTTCTGACCCAGGGCTGAGCACCCAAGGGCTCTCAAGGTGGGGCATCACCTACAGTCACCATGGAACACAGTGGAATGGTGCCTAAAGCCCTGGTGTGGAGGATGTACGGCAGCTTGATAGGACCAGAGGCAGCCAGTTTGTCTGGGAGGTCTTTGCCACCACTTTTCCCTGTCCCGCTAGCCCCCTTGGTGCATGGGACTCTCTGCAAAGCCCCTGGAGAGGAGCCATCCCAACATGCTAGGCCCTTGACTTCTATCCTCCAGTGTCCAGCTAACTTAGCTGAGGGATGGGCTGCCCCAGCCCCTGAGTCCCTGGAACCCTAAGCCACTTGCCCCCTTGCATGGCGCTGCTCAGATGCCCAGAGCCAGCAGTCTGCTGTGATCCCTTTGACGTGAGCATAGGCTCTCCTGTCTGGTGATGCACCAGGCTGATGCTGAGTCTCTGTGCAACCTCAGATGAGCAGCTGGGGTTTGGAGGCATGTAGCAATGCAGTTGCCGAGTGCAGTGGCTCGATCTCAGCTCACTGCACCCTCTGCTGCCTGAGTTCAAGCGATTTTTGTTTCTCAGCCTCCTGAGTAGCTGGGATTACAGGCATGCACCACCACATGCAAAAAAAACAAAACAAACAAACAAAAAAACCACCTTTTGGTATTTTTAGTAGAGACAGGGTTTCACCATGTTGGCCAGGCTGGTCTCGAACTGCTGATCTGAAGTGATCCGCCCGCCTCAGCCTCCTAAAGTGCTGGGATTATAGGCATGAGCCACCGCTCCCGGCCTCCTCCTATATCTCTTGATCAAACTTCAGGGGAAAACCTGCCAGATTCCCCAGGAAGGATGCTTGGAGGTAGGTGGCAGGGTACAGGGAGGCCTATGCCAACTTCTCATTGAACACCACTCCCAGCTTTCCTACCCCCATTTCTCTTCACAGGTGTGCAGAGAAGTCTACATTCCCATGTCAAGTAAGTGGGGTGGGTAGATGGGAGGGCATATGAGAGCGGGGCAGCAATTTTATGTCTTAGTTGGAAGGAAGTTTAGAGTTCATTGAGTCCAAATCCTCTTTACTAGGTGAGGAAACTGAGGCACAGGAGGGGGAGGTGCCATTAGCCAGGGAGTCAGAGCCAGGACTTAGAACCTGGTCCATGCCTCCTAGTTTGTTCCTGACCAATCCTCCCAGCTCACCCACTCCTTTTGCTCTCACCTCTGACTCCCTACAGGCTACAGCTAGAGAGTTGACTCCTCTATTTGAGGTAAGAGTGTCTGGATTTGGGATAAGGTGACCTCAGTTTGCAGGTCTCATGGGGGAGATCAGAGGGTCCTTTGTTGAGAAGAGGGGACTTGGTCCACAGTGAGCAAAGGAATTTGTCTAAATTGCTATTAAGGGAGATCATCTCCCAAGGTGGGCCAAGCCTGAACCCTCAGCCCTCCATTTCTTCCCTTTCTTTTGCCTTCAGATTGACAGGCCTCGGAAGTCAAAATAAGTGGTTTCCTAGACCGGGTCGAGAGCAAGTCTCTATTGGTCCCAACTGAGTTTTTTCAGCTGGTTTTTCAACCAAACAGCACCTCATCTCCCAGTGAGGGGAAGGGAAGGCTGGGCTGAGAGCAGCAAGGCTGCTCATCTCACCTCTCCCCACCCAGCCATGCCAGCCGCCACACCTGGTGGGGAGAGGTGGGCCTCACCTGGGTCCCCTGGCAGTGCTCTGTGAAGGGTCTTGACATTGCACTGTAATAATAAAGGTGTGTGTGAAGTATCTTTTTATGGTGACTTTCTAAAACCCAGGGAATCATGGGACCAGTTCTGATGACTCAGCCTGGCTTCCAGTCTCCTCCAGGCCCAACGGTGGCCCCCAGCACTGGTTGGGGCCTGGGAGAGCTGGCCTTGGCTGAAGTGAAGCCACCTACCCTTCAGGCATAACAGGACAGTGAGAAGGAAGGAAAGCCTGCCTCAACCTCCCATCAGCCCTGAGCACCCCAGAAGGGGGCCGGCTAGGAGTCTAGGCATGCAGGAGGCTGACCCCTGACTGGGCTCATATCCAGCCACAAGGCAGCCAGGGACCCAGGCACCCACCCCTTGTCTGCGTCCCTCTCGGGAATGGGCCTCTTGCCCAGGCCAGAAATACACCACCTACAGTACAAATTATAATCTAAAAACAAGAGGGTGGTGTTGAGTGGGGAAATTGGGGAAGGTGTTTTAGGAGCCACTAGGAAAATGGGCAGCAGGGACTCTCTGGACTGGCTTGGGAAGAGCGCTTTTGGGGAACCTGGAGGATGGCAAGCTGAGAAACACTGGTGTGGAGATTCCAGCCAAATCCCAGGCCTGCCCCTCCCCCTCCTCTGAGAGGCCGTCTTCTTGGCAGACAGCAGAGAGATGCATGACAAAGGTGCCGTGATGGTTCTGTCCTGGGGATTGAGATGGCTGGGGAGGGGCCTCCTCCTGTTCCGAAGCATGTTCCTCCCACCCCCACCAGGCCCCATAATCTACCTGCCTTTTGGGCAGTTAAAGGCCGAGAAGTGAACACAGCTGCAACCCCACTGCCTTGTAGACCTTCCGGCAGACCTGTGGCAGGTATTGAAATGCACGCATACAATTAGGCTCAAAAAGTCTACACAGACAGGAGATGGGCACACGAACAGAGGCAACATAAGAGTGGGGGAAAAGTCTCAAAAGACTCACGGATGCCACCAAGATGAAGACAGCTGGCCACGGGACACCCATCCCCTTAGAAGGCAGACAGAGCCACTGACCCCAGCAGACAAGCCCAGGCAGGGCTGAGCCTGGAGCCTGCAATGAGAAGCCTTACTTAAGTCGACAGAGGTCAGCGTGCCCAGTCCAGACCTGGCCTTCTGGCCTTCGAAGCTGTGGGGAGCCCTGGCCCAGAGCCCCCTCTGGAGCCCCCAGACTTACCCCAGGCCCTCCACTGAGATCAAGTTTTGGGAGCAGACAGACAAACATCATCCCTCACAGACAGGCATTCCGTTGGCTATTCTCTTGCAAACAGAATCAAGCACTAGACCAGCAGCATGAGCCTCAGGATACTCAGGCCAGGCCCAGAAAAACAGACCCTGAAGGGGAGCTTAGGGCAGCCTTCCTGCACCCCTCCACAAATCACTCGCCACCTCCTCTGCGTCTTTCTGCCAGCCAGCCCCACTAAACAAAGCACATCCCTCAATCTTCCGGGCTCGGGGAGGGATGCACGATGAAGCTGGACGCCTGAGTCCCCCAGAGGAAGGAGGAACTAGATACCTAGGTCCCTGTAGGGGGCCCTTGGTGCCCGTCTGAGGCTCAGTCTTTGAGGGGATTGCAGAGGGGGGTTGCTGGAGCTCCTTTTAGCGTCTCTGAAGGGGATTCTGTGTGAGGGGATTGGGACTGGGGGGTTGGGGAGCAGGAAGCAGTCCCCAGGGGAGCCATCCAGGCCCATTCAAGGGTTGAGCACTTGTTTAGGGTTAGAGCTGCCCCCTCTGGGGACCGGGATTGTCCAGCCAAGGCCATTGTCCTGCCCCCTTCCCCCAGTCCCTCCCAGGCTTCTTTGAACCTGAAGTCAGATATTTTTTCTCCACACCCCCCACCCCCTGGTTTTCCCCACCCAGGGCCTAGGGCTGGAGGCCTGGGCCAGGGAGGTGGGGGAGGGAGAACGGGGCCTACCGTGGTATTAGATGTCTGAGTTTTGGTTGAGAGGGGAGCAAGGAACCTGATGTGCAGGTTCCATAGTGGAGGGGGCCCAAAGCGGGTGTCTTATCACTCTGTTTCAGCAAAGGTTGGGAAACTGAGGCCCAATCAGTCCAAAGTCTGGTCCCTTGAAGGGGAAGTAGGGGCCAACCCCTTAGTCTGTTAGATGAGGAGAGTCTGGAGTCTGATTCTGGAAGACGGAGGGGTGGGGGGATGGGGGGTGGGGGGATATAGCACGGAGGCCTTGTCTGGCAGTCTACTCTTGAAGATGGGGTGAAATTTGGCAGGCTGGGCAGATGGTGCCAGGCACCCAGGCTGCGGGGTGGCTGGATTTGGCCAGTATCGGGATGGGAATGCCTAGGATTCTGGATGGATCGGGGGAAGGCATAAGGGAGCAGCTGGCCATTGTGCTTATGGCTGTTGATGCATTGAGGGATAGCGCCACACACACATTCAATAAATTTGAGGAGCTGAGAGGGTGACTGGCCCCTGAAGGCACAGTGCCAGAGGTCTGTGGAGAGGGGGTCAAGCACCTGGGTTCCTGAAGAACATGGAGGTGTGGGAGTGATTCCAGACAGCTGGGATGTGCAGAGCCTGAGAGAGTGCCAGGGAGCGGGTTGGGAGTTGAAAGTTGGGTGTGGTGGCTCACGCCTTTAATCATGACACTGGGCGGCAGAGGCGGGAGGATTTCTTGAGGACAGGAATTCAAGACCAGCCTGGGTAACATAGCAAGGCCCCATCTCTACTAAAAATAAAAAAACTAACAGGGCACAGTGGTCCAAGCCTGTAGTCCCAGCCACTTAGGAGGCTGGAGCAGAAGGATTGCTTTGGCCCAGTAGATCGAGGCTACATTGAGCCATCATTGTACTCCACTGCACTCCAGTCTGGGCAACAAAGTGAGACCCTGTCTTAAAAAATAAAAATAAAAAAAGTTTCTGTGGGGGACCTGCACTGAGGTCCTGGAGGGGCGCCAGTTGTGTCTCCCGGTTTTCCCCTTCCACAGACACCATTGCCACCACCATTAGGCAAACATCCTTCGCCTCAGTTTCTCCCCCCACCTCCCTCTCCTCCACCCATCCAGGGGGCGGGGCCAGAGGTCAAGGCTAGTGGGTGGGACTGGGGAGGGAGAGAGGGGTTGAGTAGTCCCTTCGCAAGCCCTCATTTCACCAGGCCCCCGGCTTGGGGCGCCTTCCTTCCCCATGGCGGGACACCTGGCTTCAGATTTTGCCTTCTCGCCCCCTCCAGGTGGTGGAGGTGATGGGCCAGGGGGGCCGGAGCCGGGCTGGGTTGATCCTCGGACCTGGCTAAGCTTCCAAGGCCCTCCTGGAGGGCCAGGAATCGGGCCGGGGGTTGGGCCAGGCTCTGAGGTGTGGGGGATTCCCCCATGCCCCCCGCCGTATGAGTTCTGTGGGGGGATGGCGTACTGTGGGCCCCAGGTTGGAGTGGGGCTAGTGCCCCAAGGCGGCTTGGAGACCTCTCAGCCTGAGGGCGAAGCAGGAGTCGGGGTGGAGAGCAACTCCGATGGGGCCTCCCCGGAGCCCTGCACCGTCACCCCTGGTGCCGTGAAGCTGGAGAAGGAGAAGCTGGAGCAAAACCCGGAGGAGGCAAGTGAGCTTCGACGGGGTTGGGGTGTGGGGAGGTGGTCATGACAGGGCAGCCTGATGGGGAAGTGGTCACCTGCAGCTGCCCAGACCTGGCACCCAGGAGAGGAGCAGGCAGGGTCAGCTGCCCTGGCCAGGGAGGGGTGTGTATCAACTGCAGGCAGCCCTGGCAGGCAGGGGCCAGGTGGGAACTGGAAGCTGGATTTCGAAGAGACAACTGCAGGTGAGGGCAGAGCGGCCTGGGAGAGTCGGAAGCTGGCCCAGGCTGGCCTTTGCTCTGTCTGGCCCAGCCCTTGTCAGGGTCTCTCACATCTCCTAGGCCTGCCCAGGGTCTGGTCACTCATTACTGGCCCAGCACCAGACCCAGCTTGGGGTTGGTTTGAGCCCCTTTTCCCACCCTTAGTCCTGCTTGAAAATTTGACCCTTATCAGACCCAAGATTTTGGCCTTAGGGTTAAGCATAGCCTGAGGGTAAAAACAGTGCTCATTCCAGGATTATTGTTCCTGAAAGTCTAGGGTGTGACTCGTTTCTGATAGGATCTCCTGTTTGGGCTGTGTGTGTGCGCGTTGTGAGCTGGGTTTACCTCCAGTCAAGTATAGGGCTTGTCTTCCCCGGATCTCTGCCTCAGGCCAATGACTGGCCACTGTGTTAAGGTGCACACCCTGGCACCCCTTGTAGAAAGCTGGATTTTGATTGACTTCAGCCTCAGTTCCAAAGTTGTAAACAAGAAAAATGGTGAGAGATTTCTCCAGGCCATTTGCAAATATAGAGCTGCTGCGGGATTGAAGGCATCCAGCCCTGCTGAGGACTATTAAAGATGTATCTTCCAGTCCTCCAAGGCGACAAGTGTAAGCAATTAGAGATTAAATACTAAGCCTTGAGACCTCACAGAAAGGTGTGACTGGTTTCTGGAGTGACCGAGAAGCCCCAACCTCTTCGCAGGAGGTCACTGCTGAGCCTTGAATGATAATGGCTGGCAATTGTGGTCCACTTCCTAAGTGCCTGGCTGTGTGCTCCGTTTATACATCATTATCTCATTAACCAGCACAAAATCTCCTAGGGGGAGGTATTATTATCCTATTTAACGGGTTTTAACTGCTAAATGATGAAGCGAGGATTTGGACCAGTGTTTATTCCAAAACCCCAAAACAGAATTTGGAAAATCCAGGATAGCAGAGGGCATTTATCAGTTTGAGTTATTGGCTGAGCAGAAGTTGGGGATGAAAACAGCCTATTTGAAATTGATATGATCAAGCACCATTGAAACACTTCCTTGAGGCTTCAGGACTACAAAAAGGCCTTGTTTTTTTCTCACTAGCTGTGCACCTCTGTCCGCCGGCAGCCTCATATGGCATGCCCCAGGGCTCAGTCCTTCAACCTCTGCTCTATCTACCCTTCCTTCCTCTCACCCACCCTCAAGGCTTAAATGCCATTTAGACACCAGATGACTACCGCGTTTTCTGTCTCTTGTGATGGCTCCCTGAACTGCTCCACCCTGATCACCCAGTTGCTCAAGGCCAAACCCAGTCATCCTCAGTTTCTTTCACGTCCTACATCCTATCCTTAAGAAACATCCTGAATCAATCACAACCTAACCCTGGCCTCAGCCACCATCATCTCTGCTGGGATTACCGCAGTAGCTTCTCAAATTATACTGCTTCCTCCCTACTGTCTGTGGCCAACACGTCAACTAGAGTCAGTGTTTTAAAAGGTGTGGCCAGGCACTTTGGGAGGCCGAGGCAGGCGAATCACCTGAGGTTGGGAGTTCGAGTCCAGCCTGACCAACATGGCGAAACCCCATCTCTACTAAAAATACAAAATTAGCTGGGCGTGGTGACGCATGCCTGTAATCTCAGCTACTCAGGAAGCTGAGGCAGGAGAATCGCTTGAACCTGGGAGATGTAGGTTGCGGTGAGCCGAGATCGCGCCAGTGCACTCCAGCCTAGGCAACAAAAGCGAAACTCTCAAAAAAAAAAAAAAAAAGGTGAGGCTAGGTGCGGTGGTTCACACCTGTAATCCCAGCACTTTGGGAAGCCAAGGTGGACAGATCACTTGAGGTCTCCTGACCAGCCTGGCCAACATGGTGAAACCCCATATCTACTAAAAATACAAAAATTAGCCGGGCATGGTGGTGGGTGCCTGTAGTCCCAGCTACTCAGGCGGCTGAGGCAGAATAGCTTGAACCCAGAAGGCGGAGATTGCAGTGAGCCAAGATCACGCCACAGCACTCCAGCCTGGGCGATAGAACGAGATTCCGTCTTGGGGGGGGAGAAAAAGGGTGAGAGATCATTTCACTTGGACTAAAACAAAGTCACTATGTCTGCAACAGGATCTACCTAGCCACCAGACCAGCTTTGGGCTCTGGAAGGCCCACTTCAGGGCCTTGCCACATTAGACTCTTGTCCTTTGCTCAAACAATCACCTTCTCTGTCTTTAAAAGTGTCACCCTCCTCCATAATCTCCTTCCCTCCTTTACCCTACTCCTATAGACTGCTTTATTTTTTTTTTAATTTTTGAGATGGAGTCTCACTCTGTCCCTCAGGCTGGAGTGCAGTGGTGCGATCTTGGCTCACTGCAAACTCCACCTCCTAGGTTCAAGCAATTCTCCTGCCCCAGCCTCCTGAGTAGCTGGGATTATAGGGGAGCGCCATGATGCCCAGCTAATTTTTGTATTTTTAGTAGAGACAGAGTCTCACTATGTTGACCAGGCTAGTCTTGAACTCCTGACCTCAAGTGATCTACCCACCTTGGCCTCCCAAAGTGAAGGGATTACAGGCATGACCACTGCGCCCGGACTGCTTTGCTTTTTTCCATAATATATATATATTTTTTAAATAGAGGCAGCAGGGGTGGGAGAAGGGGCGGCACGGGTCTCACTATGTTACCCAGGCTGCTTTCTAACTCTTGGGCTCAAGCAGTCTGCCCACCTTGGCCTCCCAAAGTGCTAGGATTTACAGACATGAGCCACTGTGCCTGGCCATTTTTTATTTTATTTACTTTTTTATTTTTCAGAGCAGGAGTGGAAGTTTATTATTAAAAAGTTATAGGGCAGGGAAAAAAGGAAAGTGCACTTGGAAGAGATCCAAGTGGGCAACTTGAAGAACAAGTGCCGAATAGCACTTCTGTCATGCTGGATGTCAGGGCTCTTTGTCCACTTTGTATAGCCGCTGGCTTATAGAAGGTGCTCGATAAATCTCTTGAATTTAAAAATCAATTAGGATGCCTCTATAGTGAAAAAGATACAGTAAAGATGAGGGATAATCAATTTAAAAAATGAGGAGTAAGTACACACAAAGCACTTTATCCATTCTTATGACACCTGTTACTTTTTTGCTGTGTTTGTGTGTATGCATGCCATGTTATAGTTTGTGGGACCCTCAAAGCAAGCTGGGGAGAGTATATACTGAATTTAGCTTCTGAGACATGATGCTCTTCCTTTTTAATTAACCCAGAACTTAGCAGCTTATCTATTTCTCTAATCTCAAAACATCCTTAAACTGGGGGTGATACTTGAGTGAGAGAATTTTGCAGGTATTAAATGAACTATCTTCTTTTTTTTTTTCTTTGAGACAGAGTCTTGCTCTGTCACCCAGGCTGGAGTGCAGTGGCGTGATCTCAGCTCACTGCAACCTCCGCCTCCCGGGTTCAAGTGATTCTCCTGCCTCAGCCTCCTGAGTAGCTGGGATTACAGGTGCGTGCCACCGTGCCCAGCTAATTTTTGTGTTTTTAGTAGAGACGGGGTTTCACCATGTTGGCCATGCTGGTCTTGAACTCCTGACCTCGTGATCTGCCCACCTCGGCCTCCCAAAGTGCTGGAATTATAGGCATGAGCCACCGCGCCCAGCAAAGAACTTCTAACCTTCATAACCTGACAGGTGTTCTCCTCGAGGCCAGGGTCTCTCTTTCTGTCCTTTCACCATGCTCTGCATCCCTTGGATGTGCCAGTTTCTGGGGGAAGAGTAGTCCTTTGTTACATGCATGAGTCAGTGAACAGGGAATGGGTGAATGACATTTGTGGGTAGGTTATTTCTAGAAGTTAGGTGGGCAGCTTGGAAGGCAGATGCACTTCTACAGACTATTCCTTGGGGCCACACGTAGGTTCTTGAATCCCGAATGGAAAGGGGAGATTGATAACTGGTGTGTTTATGTTCTTACAAGTCTTCTGCCTTTTAAAATCCAGTCCCAGGACATCAAAGCTCTGCAGAAAGAACTCGAGCAATTTGCCAAGCTCCTGAAGCAGAAGAGGATCACCCTGGGATATACACAGGCCGATGTGGGGCTCACCCTGGGGGTTCTATTTGGTGGGTTCCCCTCTGCAGATTCTGACCGCATCTCCCCTCTAAGGAGTATCCCTGAACCTAGTGGGGAGGGGCAGGGGCAGACTCTACCCTCACCCATGAAGAGGAGTAGGGAGAGGGAGAAGATGCTTGGGCTTTGAGCTCCCTCTGGGAAGAGGTGGTAAGCTTGGATCTCAGGGTCACAAGGGCCCTGCGTGCTCCCTCATTTTGCTTCTCTTTTGACTGGCCTCCCCCAGGGAAGGTATTCAGCCAAACGACCATCTGCCGCTTTGAGGCTCTGCAGCTTAGCTTCAAGAACATGTGTAAGCTGCGGCCCTTGCTGCAGAAGTGGGTGGAGGAAGCTGACAACAATGAAAATCTTCAGGAGGTAAGGGTGGGAGGGGGATACCCGGGGACCTTCCCTTTCTTGGCCTAATTTCCATTGCTTCCATCACTGGCTCGTAGCTCTCCGTCTTTGGTGCAGTGGTTCTCAGTGGGATGGAGTGAAATTCCTCAGTTCTGCTGGGATAAGGTCCAGAGCCAACCCTTCCAGGATCCTGCCTTTTCACACCACCACCTGGCTCTGCTGACACATCTAGTCACAGACCCCTGTGATGCTGTTACTCAGCAAGTCCAAAGCTTGCCCTTGTCACCCCCTTCCCACCTGCACAGATATGCAAAGCAGAAACCCTCGTGCAGGCCCGAAAGAGAAAGCGAACCAGTATCGAGAACCGAGTGAGAGGCAACCTGGAGAATTTGTTCCTGCAGTGCCCGAAACCCACACTGCAGCAGATCAGCCACATCGCCCAGCAGCTTGGGCTCGAGAAGGATGTGAGTGCCATGTCTCTCTGCGGGCTCCATCTCTTTCCCCTGTCACCACCTCGCTTTCCCTAGCTCTGGCTCCTCCAACTGCTCTAGGGCTGTTGGCTTTGGACAGAATGTCCAAGCAGTCAGGCCTGTCTCAGCTCATTCTCTAATGTCCTCCTCTAACTGCTCTAGGGCTGTTGGCTTTGGATAGAATGTCCAAGCAGAGTCAGGCCCGTCTCTCAGCTCATTGTCTAATGTCATTCTCCTTTCTGTCATTCACTGGCAGGTGGTCCGAGTGTGGTTCTGTAACCGGCGCCAGAAGGGCAAGCGATCAAGCAGCGACTATGCACAACGAGAGGATTTTGAGGCTGCTGGGTCTCCTTTCTCAGGGGGACCAGTGTCCTTTCCTCTGGCCCCAGGGCCCCATTTTGGTACCCCAGGCTATGGGAGCCCTCACTTCACTGCACTGTACTCCTCGGTCCCTTTCCCTGAGGGGGAAGCCTTTCCCCCTGTCTCTGTCACCACTCTGGGCTCTCCCATGCATTCAAACTGAGGTGCCTGCCCTTCTAGGAATGGGGGACAGGGGGAGGGGAGGAGCTAGGGAAAGAAAACCTGGAGTTTGTGCCAGGGTTTTTGGGATTAAGTTCTTCATTCACTAAGGAAGGAATTGGGAACACAAAGGGTGGGGGCAGGGGAGTTTGGGGCAACTGGTTGGAGGGAAGGTGAAGTTCAATGATGCTCTTGATTTTAATCCCACATCATGTATCACTTTTTTCTTAAATAAAGAAGCTTGGGACACAGTAGATAGACACACTTATCTTGGTTTGTCCTTCAGTTACTGAGGTGGGGATGGGAATATCCAATGCTCATACCCAAGTGACCCTGAAACTAAGGTGCCATTTACACTCCTTAAGGTCACACAACATCAGAGGGAGAGCTGGGATTGCAGCCAAGTTTATTTGTACAGGGCCCTGTGATAGGCTAGTTCCCAAAAGCCTGTGATGCAAGAACTTTTGCCCATAGACTCAGTCACCATGTAGCTGTTACCTGTTCAGAGCTGGCTTTTTGCTTTCCCACCCTACTCTGGAATTCTTAAATGGCTTTATACTTAGAAATCATCTTATTTCTGTTGAACCTAGATCACCCCAACCAGAAACTTCTATTAATACTTTGTGCTTTCTTGATACCAGGGTCTATTTGGTTTCCACTTAAGGTTTTTGCATACTCTGCCCATAAGTGACTCATTAGTTACTCAAGTTTTATTCCTGGCTCTGCCACTAGTTCATTAGGGGTCTTTGCCCCAGAGTCATTTCTTCCATGTAAAAAAACTTGGGCTCATTAAATCTAGGTAGGAAAGGGCGGATGTGGCAGGTTTTAATAGAACAGGTCAAGATAAGGCTTTATTTCTATAGAAATGATGCTTTGACAATAGTTTGGCTTGGTGTAAGGCTCACAAAAGAAAATCACATGTACCATGTGTGGGTTAAGCGGTTTGATTCACACTGAACCAGGCCAGCCCAGTTGCCCTCTGCTGTGTCCACCCGTGGAGTGGAGCTGTGTCACAGCCATCACACTGGTAAACTGCTGTAGCTGGTTTACCAGGCTTTCTCTTGCCCTGACAGTACAGGTGAAGCCTGTAAATAAATCTTCTGCTATCTTTGTGAACTTAACCAAATCCCAGTTACCTTATTTAAATGGCAATAGATCTGTTTTCCCTTAAACTAGAAACCTTAATTACCTGTATTCCTACCTCCAGCTCAACCCATATATTTGCACCTTTCCAGTAAGCAGGTTTGTATTTCCATCTCTCCCCTTCCCCTAAGATTCTGAATTAGTTCTCCAGACCTTGCCAAGCACATTCTCCCTGGAAAGCAAGGAATATCACAGACCCACAAGAAGAGTAAATGCCCAGGAGTGAATGAAGCGGCTTGTCCTTGACTTGGAAATAAAAGCAAAGCTGTGAAAAGCCAGGTCGCTACGATTTTGTTGGCAGCAGGACTAGCCACAGAGTAGGGAAGTTTTGGGGCCAGGCCCTAGGTTTTCCCAGAATGCCTTGGGTGATGCCACCAAGAACCTTAAGAACTCCCTCTTACATTTTCCATCGGTTGCAGGCATGGCTTTTGCAACTGATAGGTGCTCTGACTACAGATATTCTGGTGTCCATGGCAACATGGCCTTATGGCTTGTAATAGTGGGAACTTCCAGCTCACTGGCAATTTCCTGGAGGTGGCAATATCTTTGGCAGGAAACCATCTCTTCTGTCTTGGCCACCAGGGTCTGCTCCAGGCCCTGAATGAGTCCACATCAATCCATCCTTCTTCCCTGTAGTCATTCCCTCTTGGGGAGGGAAGGGAAGGGGGGTATTTATCAGACCTATTTGCTCGCTGCTGTGTCTACTCATGGGCAGGTGTGTCCGATGGTGCCTTGGCGGTGGACCTTAGGTCTGAATGCCAGCCCGGCACCCTGGGCATCGGAAGTCGGCCTCCCTGGCAGCCTGGATGCTGCAGCCAACACAGGCCACATGGAACCAGACGTCACAGCCATCACACTGAACCCAGGCCACTGTCTCTTCCTGGGGCAGGCAGCAACAAGGAGCTGCACAGGGCTCCCCGCCCCCAACTGCAGGGGGAGCCATGGGAGCGCTCACTGGGTACTTCCGAGGACGGCCACGTCGATTTCTGAAGGAAGTGACACAGACACAAGGGTCACCGGAAACCTGTAGGAGAAGGCCTAGACCTTGCCACCCTATGGCTGGTCATAGGGTGAGGCCACAGAGGCACAGTGGTCTGAGAACTAAGGTGAGCCTGGACTCTGTCCTTAAAAACACATAGGGTGGGCCTAAAAACCTCTAGTGTGAGCCTGAAAGTTCCCCATCCTTAGGCACTAGAAGAATGGGGTTAAAGCCATATGAATGTAAAAAGCAGGACATGCTCACTCCGGTTGTTTTATAAGCACTGCCCCACCCCACCTCTCATGTTCTCCTGCACATATTTTTCTTTTCCTATCAGAGCTAACCCAGGTCTTGCCATTCCATCTATTCCACCTCCCGTGCCCATCCCCCCAGGCAGGGGGACCTCCTCACAGCCTAGGGATACAAGGAATCGAAAAGCAGTAAAACACTGAGAGGGCCAAGTGAGGACTCCACTTACCCAGTGGGAGTCAGTGGGGCTTTGTCTACACGGAGTTTCTTCCTGGGCTCCATAAGGACCGGTGGCGGGTTCTCAGGAGGCTCACTCTCATCATCCAGTTCCGCCAACACTCGGTGAACAGATTTCCTCCGATTGCGTTGGGGTGGAGCAGAAGGCGTGGTCCCCACTTCCCCAGGTGGGGCGGGAACAGGCAGGCTCTTTGGTCCACCCCAACTAGGGGAGAAGGTGAGGGGCTGGGGCCGGAGCTTGCTGAGGCTGCCTATGGAGTTTAGGATCAGTGTGGCCTTGGGGGCAGGGGAGAAGGTGCTGAGAGGCCGCTGTGGAGCCCCCTGGGAGGGCAGCATAGGCCGGAAACCAGCCCCAACCCGGGCTTCTCCCCTAGACCGTGGGATGGTAATGGCAGCAAAGTCCTGAGGCTTGACTCGTACTTGTTGGAACATGAAGTAGAACTCCGAGGGGCTGGTTCCTGGGGGCCCTTCAGGGCCAAAGGTCAGGAGGTCTCCATCACTCAATTCCAGCCTGTGACCTCTTGGGAGTCGGACATTATTGACCAAAGTACCTGTTGATGGTGGGGCACCAGGCAAATATGGAGGACAAAAACAGAAATGACCAGAGTCAGGAGTGGAGAAATCTGTATGATTTCTGGGGAAGAATATGAAACTGTAGTCAGATTCTCCCTCACATCCTAAGCCCCTCAGCAGGTGACAGGTACCAGGCAGTACACTCCTTGTCAGCTAGGAACAAGTCTGTGTTTCTTGTGCTTTCCTACAAAGGATCCCTGCCCTCACTGTCCTAAGGTCCAATTTTCTTTCTTTCTTCTTTTTTTTTCTTTCTTTTTTTTTTTTTTGAGATGGAGTTTTGCTCTATTGCCCAAGCTTGAACCGCCTCCCAGGTTCAAGCAATTCTCCTGCCTCAGCCTCCTGAGTAGCTGGGATTACAGGCATGTGCCACCACGTCTGGCTAATTTTTTTATTTTTAGCAGAGACAGGGTTTTACCATGTTGGCCAGGCTGGTCTCATACTCCTGACCTCCTGATCTGCCCGCCTCAGCCTCCCAAAGTGCTGGGATTACAGGCGTGAGCCACCGTGCCCCGCCCTAAGGTCCAGTTTTCAAACATGCTCACTCTCCCCCAGCTCCAGCTCGTTCAGATCCTAGCTCTACCACTTACCAGTTATGTGACCCTGGGCAAGCTTTTGGTTTGTTTGTTTGTTTGAGATGGAGTCTCGCTCTGTCGCCCAAGCTGGAGTGCAGTGGTGCGATCTCAGCTCACTGCAACCTCCGCCTCCCGGGTTCAAGTGATTCTGCTGCTTCAGCCTCCTGAGTAGCTGGGGTTACAGGTGCACGCCACCACACCTGGCTAATTTTTGTATTTTTTTTTCAGCACAGATGGGGTTTCAACATGTTGGTCAGGATGGTCTCGAACTCCTGACCTCGTGATCTGCCCATCTCGGCCTCCCAAAGTGCTGGGATTACAGGCGTGAGCCACCGCGCCCAGGCTTTTTTTAAAAAATTAATTAATTTTTTGGTAGAGACAGGTTTTCACCATGTTGCCCAGGCTGGTCTCGAACTCCTGAGCTCAAGTGATCCACCCTGCCTTAGCCTCCCAAAGTGCTGGATTATAGGTGTAAACCACCATGCCCAGCCCTGGACAAGTTCCTTAACCTCTTTGTGCCTCATTTTCCTTTACTGTAAATGAGGATAATATTAGTACCACCTACATTCAATACACTTAAAATAGGGCCTGGCTCATAACAGTAAGCACTAGATGAATGTTGGCTACTATAGTCTAATAACCATAACACTCCTACAGCTGACTTTACCAAGAGGCAGTGGCAAAACTCAAATGTGAATCTAGGCTTTCTGAGGCTAACTGCCTCAAGTCACGGAGAAAGACATGCCCAGATTATTAAAAACATTATTCAACATAGAACTGCCCTAACCCAGGAACAGAGTGCCTCAGCAAAGCTGGAAACTGAATCAAGTCTAAACTTGGCCTCTAGTGGCCTCAGAACATCCCCACTGTGATATCTTTCTGATGATATCCCAGGTCCTGTATGAGCTAAACGGGACCAAAAAGGGTCAGTCTGGCAGAGAGCTTCTGACTGTGCACACTTCTGGTGGGAAGATGAAGGTCTGGACCACGACTATCCATCCAATCTGATGGGAGTATGGGAGGCAGGCAGCAGGGTCTTGTGGAGACCTTACTCATTCCAGCCTGGCGCTTCAACCACCCAGGGGCAAAGCTGCCCTGCTTAATGCTCACCTTGGCTGCTGTGGTCTTCCAGGCTGACCCTCCAGTCATCACCCCGGGGCTCGGCATGCAGTTCGGCGTGGATCCCAGAGATGAGGCCAGGCTCCTGCTGGGGCCGCAGGGCCACATCACACAGGTCGGCCCTGTGGCCCAAGCGATAGGTGCAGCCAGCCCCGGCGGGGGGGTGGAAGGTGTAGAGATCACCGCCCCTGCCGCCCCCTATGCGCAGCAGTTGGAAGCAGGGCAGCATGGGCGGTGCCCCCTCTGCACCACCTCTTCCACTTCAGGCATCCATTTCCTTTCCCACTCCTGGGCCACGCACCGCTGGCTTAAGTTCGCTTCCCAGTCTGATGCAAACTTGAGTTGTGCTGTATGCGGTTTCAACTTTGAGCACACTACCTGAA